>NW_003315914.1:0-164536 GCF_000001405.40 Homo sapiens
GAATTCTCCCGTTTCAAGAATAATCTGAGTTTTGGAAAAAAAAAAAAAAAGAAAAAAAAACAGCATTCCCTAAGATCCTCTTGTTTCATACATGGCTTTCTTTTCTGATTCACCAGTATGTCTCCAAAATCATGCCTACTTTCTCTGTATATTAAGTAATTATGAAACTCAGGAGATTTCTATCAACCAAAAGACACAGGAAGTGCTCTTCTAAGTCATATTTAAATACATCAGGAACAATATTAAAAGCAAATCAGTTTCCCACATTAAAACAAAATATATAAATAGATGTCTGTGCTGGAGTCGGAAGTGTAAACAAACATAATTGTAAATTTTACAGCCTGTTTATCACTTTATCTGCTGTTTGAAATCACTCCATTAGCCCTGTTTTGATGAAAATGCTTTTTCTTTCTGTAAAGATCACTTTGTTACCTCAGCGTTTACATGGGAATTTTTTTTTATTTTATTAAAGTAAGCACAAGGCTAACATTGGAATCTAAGCATGCTTTCCAAATTATGCACACATCTGTGAAAATGTACGTCAACCTTAAGTTAGTTAACATATTTTTATTTTAATAGATATAACTACAAATACCAATATACTGTATATATTGCTGCTTCATGTCCTAGTCCTAAAAATACAAAGAAGAAACAAAGAGAAATGCTAATGTTGCTTCCCTGTTAAAAAACGAAGAGTTATTTATGAAGCTTGATTTGTAATTTTTAAGAGGCTGTATGGTATAGCAGAAAGAGGACTAATTTAATTCTCAGTTAATCAGGGGACGTGGAATCATGTATCTGAGTTGCAAAGACATGGGGACCAGCGTCAAAGTTCTTGGGCATAACTTCTTTCTGGGCCCCTGACTACCTTCACAGAACCATTTCTTAAAATACGATGTCCTTCAGTTTCCTCTTCTGTAAAATTAGAATATTAATTTCTGTTTCATCTACCTTGTACAGTTATTAGAAGACTCAAAGTGTATAATGTACAGGTAGGAAATTTTCATATTTTAAGGCATCCATTATTATCAGTCAACATTATTATTTTCCCCAGTTTGGGCAATAAATGTTTGATCATGAGCAAGTTACTCAAGCAAGCATCATTTTCCTTTTCACACAATTACAGTAAGGAGTTGAAAGATATGATCTTATTTACTTTTAAAATTCTATGGTTTCATTGTCAGTTCAGTGAAAAAAGCCATTGCCTCCCTTGATTGATTAGAATTTCATTTCCTGAGTCTTTGAGGGTTTTCAATAAAGAAAAAAAAATCTATGTTAATTATCAATAATTTAAAAGGCTAGTAAGGTTACCTGATGTATTTCCGGCTTTGATTCAACTTCTTGGAAAGATATTTCAAAGCTTTTTGACTTGGAAAAGAGGAATAAGAAATAGTGGCCGGGTATTCTATTTCTTCACAAGAAACGGGGCAGCTAGAGTTATGTGTTCCTACTGTACATAAATCCTTAAATTCAATGTGGTCTGAAATGAAAATCAGGACAGGGAATTCAGAGAAGAGAAATATTTCATCATGGGTAGGATAGTTTTATAAAGTTTATCATTTCACTTTCAATATTAAAAAAAGGTGGTTACCAACAACAAATGGTGTTTACTCTGAAACAAATATGTTACTCTGAATATAGCAGAGGAGATACAATATAAGGCCTGGAAGTTCCAATCTTTGAATTCATTGAGTCACTGGATTGGGATCTTTATTGGATTTAAGAAATTATTTTCAGGAAGTATCTGGGTCTATTTCTGTAAAATATCAGATATTTGGACAGAAGAATATCTGGGTCTATTTCTGTAAAATATCAGATATTTGGACAGAAGAATATCTGGGTCTATTTCTGTAAAATATCAGATATTTGGACAGAAGAAAGATGGAAAGTGTGTAAACATCTTCAGATTTGTCTCAACATACAATGGTAAGAAATGTGCTCCTGAGTATTTGCAGTTCCTTATTTCTGTTGGCCCAGTCACTTCCAAATCAACCACTGAGGTTCTCTGTTCAGTGATCTCTCTTGGCTCCTTCAGAGCAACCAGGCTGTCCATGCAAATGCATACTAGAAAAAAGTCCCTGTAGCAGGTAGTGTTTGTCTCCAGCTTCCCTTTGGACCACCTCCCAGTGCTCATTCTCACTGCTCCTCATTCATGGTAGATACTCAGGTTCTTGTTTTTCCTTTGGTTTTGATACTGAAACCCTTTGTTCTCGTGAATCAGTTGTTTACCAAGACCTCCTGGTTACTGACCAACTTTAGGTTTGCTTTTCAGACTCTAACTTTGACTTCTCTAGGAGAAGTCAAAGCATGCATCTGCTAGTTCTTTAGCATTGCTGGCAAAGACCACCACTCTTCTCCTACACTCACATGCACTCATACACTCCCATACACACATAGGCTCACATGCACATACTCTCACACACACACTTACATACATATACTCTCATGTACATAATACTCTCTCACACACACAAACACACACACTCTTCTGACCTCCTTATCCCACAACAGTCCCCGCTAAACTGCATGCATGGTTTTTTTCCCCAAGCTCTCCCTCCAGCCTCCAACAAGGATAAGAAATCTGAAGAAATCTGGCAACATCATTTCAAGTCTATTGGTTAGTAATACGGCTTTTGTATATTCAGCCTGTGATCTACATAAAAAAAGATTCCTTCTACCTATAGCCATACCTTGAAATATTTTACAACCATTGAAAAGAACCTTTTAAATCTATTCCTGCTACCCTGGAGATATTTCCACAATGGGTTAGAAAAGCAAGTTGCATAGAAGGGTATATATTGGGATTCTGTTTTAATAAAACAACCAATGACTTCACGTGATAAATATGGAGATGTATATGTGGAGAAAGTTACAGTAGGATATACTAAAGTGTTAGCGATTATTGCAGGTTAAGGTAAGAGGTGTGAAAGCAAAAAAAAGAGGGGGCTCTTTAATAAGAACTTGTCCCCAATAAATATGGCATGTACAGTTATAATTCCATTTATGAAAAAATTTTATATGCCAAGTGCATGCAATAAAGTGAATGAATGAAGGACTATTCCCAATCAGTGAGAGGAGTTCTCAGTAATAAAACTTCTATTTATTTTTACATGATTTCCTTTCTATTCTGTAGTATTTTAACTATTCACAATAAACTTGTTTTATTTGTGAAACAATAAAAAGCAGCTAGGATATTTTGATTATAAAAAAGAACAAAATTTAAAAATTTAGATGTGTCTTAATATCAGAGGGTTTTTGTTTGTGTATACTGCCTGTGTTTGTTAGCTACTATTTAAGAACACTTACAAAAAGATCTTCTCTTATATACTATATTCTGTTTAATTTCTGGGCTATCCATAGTTTGACTTAATGTCTTATATTACTTTGAGCAACTTTAATATAAATCCTGAAAATAAAAGTAAATTAAGCACTTACCAAGTACAGGAGAAACACAGCTGAAGTACTTTTGTAGGTCACATTCTATCCCATATCCTTAAAAATAATAAGTGTAACATATAGAGACTTTACATTTTGTAAAATAAGTGATCTAATGACAAAAATACCTTTCTTACCTACATCTATCCATCCATTCATCCACCCACCCATTCTTCTATATGAACATCTATTCTTTCATAAGCAAAACTATGGAATCAAGTTAGTATCCAGTGAAAATATGTGTTGGGAGGAAGAATAATGCTTTTGTTTCTTTCCATACCTCTTTCCATCTGTCTATATCACTCTAAAATCTTTAAGCGGGAATAATAATTTTCAAATGTGAGTAGTTTTCAAATTTAAAATTACTTTCACAGTTATCATCTCATTTGATATGGTTCACAATCCTGTCATATGAGAATTTTCATTTTACAGATAAAGAAACTAAGCCTCAGAAAGAGTGGCTTGCTCAAGACCACACAGTTAGGGGAAACTTGGCACATTCTGTACATCTTCCATCCTGCTCCCTCTATCCATTTACACACACACACACACACACACACACACACACACACGTTCCTGACAGACTGCCATTCCAGAAGTAGGATGGGGAGGGGGCAGGTAAGTACCAATATTTGTTAAGTACCCACTATAGATTGTGAGATAAGTAGAAAATCACTATGTATCAGAGCTGGGTTTACTCCTACGGCTGATTCTAAAGACTTAGTCTTTTAGCCTTAATACAATATTTGTCTATTGCTATAGCCCATGTGACTCAGCAGTTAGCCACAATGTTTAGTCAGTAATCTTGAAAATAACCAAAGGAGATTGTCCACTTACAACGTGCGGACAATTTGTGGAATGTTTGGCTAACTGTAAGGAAGTGCTCTTTATGAATAAAATACAATAAGTAAAAAAAAAAAACTACCTCCAACACTGAGTTAGGAAAAAACCTCATTTTTCTGAATTATTTCTTGCTCTGGCAATAATATTTCTTCCATTATAAAGAGCAATTCAGAAAAAAAAGATGGTAGATGGAACACAGAAAACAAAAATAAAAACAAACAAACAAAAGAACAATGAAATTTTGGAAATAACCAATATCTGAAAAGCTGTTTTGGAGATTGCTTCCTCAAATTGTTAGTGGAATTACCTCAGCGAATTTGTTTAACGTTTAGAATCTTCCGTTTATTCATATATCAGTACACTTAAAGGGATGTGTGAGAATCTAACCAAATAAGATCATATTCCTGAATGCATTTGATATATATGCTAAAGTTCATGCAGATATCATTCTTTGTGTTTTATATAGCACCTTGCCTAGTTTCTGGTCCACATTAGCCAGTAGGTTTTGGTTTAATAATCATAACTTTTAAAATTGTCAACATTATTCTGCATGAAACAATTCAGACTTCTTTCCAGCAACTTTGCCAATAAATTAGGAATGAGAAATCAGAGCCAGAGCCAGCAGTTTTATATAGAACAGCAGTTTTTGCAGTGGCCAGAGATCAATAATCTGGATACTAAAAAGAAGGATGTGATGATTATGGAAACCTCTGGAAAATAATGAAACCACTTTTGCAAAATTTATATCTTTTTTACTTTTATTATTTTTTATATTATATATAATATAATATATATTTTTTATATTTTATATATATTTTATATTTATACATATTTTATATTTATATTTTATATATTTTTTACTTTTATTATTACATTGAAAGAGATTTGACCTAACTGACTCCATCTTGTTTCTAACCTCCAAGCTGTCCTTGTTCATTCTTGGGCGTTCGCTGAACTAACTTTGGGAGGAACTTAGTTTATGGTTTAGCTCTGAAACAAAGACAATAACAGCCCTTTCCCAAAATAAACTCCCTTCCTGCCTGGGGACTAGATTGCCTATATAGGGCTAACAAATTAGCCACAAGATTAGAAATTATGTTTAGGGGTCATGCAGCTGGAGGGTGCAAGATTCTAAACCGCCCCAAATTGCTTATAGTGATAACATTACTATTGTAAAAGCTAAGATCAGTGCTTGAGATATGTTGCAGACCCTGCCTCCAATGATCAGCTGGCACCACCCAGAACAAAAATCTGGCCCATCTGGTTTTGTGACCCCTACCCAGGAATTGACTCAGCGCAAAAAGACAGCTTCAACTCCACATGATTTCATCTCTGATCTCACCAATCAGAACCCCTGATTCACTGGTTCACTGGTCCCCTACCCACCAAATTATCCTTAAAAACTCTTATCTCCGAATACTCAGGGAGACTGATTTGAGTCATAATAAAACTCCAATCTCCCGCACAGCCAGCTCTGCATGAATTAGTTTTTCTCTATTGCAATTCCTTTGTCTTGATAAATCAGCTCTGTCTAGGCAGCAGGCATGGTGAGCCCGTTGGGCAGTTACAATATTTTGGCAGGTAGATTGTGTTACAATATATCTTTCTAGATATGCTGTGGGAGGGGGATGTAAGAGACCTGAATACAAATATCTGACATTTACATAGACTATATTCTGTGCCAGGCACTATTTGAACCACTTACATACCCCTTTCATTCTTACAACAACCCTATAAGATGGGATTATTATCCCCTCCTCCATTTGACAGCAGAGGAGAGAGGTTAGGTCACTTGTTCAAGATCACCTAGGGGAGAAATTGTAGAGCCGACATGAGCAGCCTGGTTGAGATCCAGCTCTTATTCACCCTGCTCCATTGCTTCCTTGAATGCTTGCCTCTCACCCATGGTTCTGGAAAAGTTGCAAATTGTATGAAAAGGAGGCCTGAAGTTAATTTTACAGTCCCAAAGAAAATAACTTTTCAACAGTGAAATCTTCAGGCTTGGTAAGACATATCCATGATCTAATTTTTCTTTCAAAATTAAGAAAATCTTGGTGTGCTGTTTTAGATATTTGAGACCATCAAATTTTAGCCTTTGGGAGTAAGTATTGGGGCCCCACCCTGATATCGCAATTTTCTCTTCCAGAAATCTCTGCGATGATTTTATAATGTAAAATTTGTCAGTCGAAGTTGTACCTGGCAAATGGATAATTTTCCAGTGTAGAATTTCAGAAGAATGGAAAACAATTTAGTGATATGTTGATTTGCTATGTTTCAAATTAAGTAAATATAAACATAAAATTCAAAGAAATTTAGGACTAAACTTCTGGTGACTTTGTTATTAGTTGTCATTTTAGTCTGCAAAGAGAAGGAACAGGCTTAAGAATATAATAATTTTTCTGTGAATGGGTCAGCAACATCTGTAATTACACTTAATAATACTTAATATTCCATTTGTATTTCAATACTCTATTTCTCCCAGACCTTTTGTAACCCTCTAAGAAACACTTAACTGTCTAGTTAAGTAAGGGGGCAGTTAGTCTTTATTTACCAGGAAGAAGAAAAGGCACACATCCACATTGCTTTTTTATGTGCTGGGCTTTGCATTCCTTCAAGCAACCAGAAGTGCTGTAGCTGCTAAAATTCTGCAGCTTGATGTTAGGATTGCATTCTCCCCAAGGGTATTCTTGATGAACTGTCTTAAGATAAGATAAATACTGGGTTCAGGAGATGTGTTTACATCAATTCACTTATTTTCCATCAAGAAGCTGGTACACATTTTTATTTTCCTCTCAGAGCTCTTTGATTTTCAAAACCAAAATTGGTTACATTTGTCTATTTTGCCTACTCTATTGACCTGAAATTCCCTGAAGCTAAGTATAATAGTGATCCTTAAACATATATCCCAAATGTGAATTAATAAAGTCAGACACATTGAGTATTCTAAAAATCAACTCATATAAGGAAAAAATATCATTTATGTAAATGTTATATTAGTGTAGTAATCAGCTCACCTACAAAACAGTGAAGAAAATCACATTTTAAAAAGATCCTTTAATAAGCAACTATTATGTGCCAGGCAACATGGTGTTGCAGAACTTTCTCCTTAGTTCAGCTAAAACTGGGCTCTTGTCACATGACCAGGAAAAATGAGGCTCGCGGGCAAATAGAAGGGTGAGGAAAATGGAATTTATTGGGTGAAAAGAAAAAAAGAAAAATGACTCTCAGCTAAGTGAGAGAGAGTCCTGCTGGTAGGTTTCCCACCTCACAGATTGAATCTCAGGCCACCACACAGGAACATGAGAGGCCAGGCTCCTCCCCACTGCAAACAGTGCAAACTTCCCAAGGCTCCACCCCTTCCTCCCAATGTGCAGGTGGGCATTTTTCAGAAAGAATCAGGTGGGAAAGGACAGCCTTCATCTGGGACAAGCAGTCCAGTTTTTCAGCCTTCAGGCTGTTTTAGGTTTGAAGGCAGGGTTTCACCAGGGGCCCTTGGCTGTCTCCTGTGTCTATCAATGGTAAGTGCTTTCTTTATGGTACTTCACTTAAACTTCCTTACTATGAAAGAAAAATATTACCCCTTCCCTATTTGTGCAGAGAGGAGATGCAAATTCAGGAAGCTAATTAAAGAAGTTACCGGGCAAGTAAGTGGCTGGCAAACAGAAACCTACCAGACCAGCCTGACTCCAAGATTCCTGCTTTTCCCACTAATTTTCTCCTTCCCAGATAGTCTCATTGAAGAATCATAGCTCAGCAACTTAGGTACCTCTTTATACTTAATGACCCTTTCCATTTCTAATGAAATGTAAAGTTTGGATTTGATAGGCTTCCCAGCTTTCACTTACATAGTTTCTGTTTCCACTAATCATGTACCTTCAGATAAAGGAAAATAATCTGAAATGAAATTTTGGAATTTCTAATGGTGTTTTACAGGCATGGGAGAAAGGAATTTCTAGTGAAAAGCATTACTTATGTGTTTGATGCATTCACTACCCCACCTAATTTCCTCAGACTCGAGTATTTACCTTCACTTGGCGGATGGTTACCCTTGCGTGCATTCCCACAGGTGACAACAAGCCTAACCCATCAAACTGTGGCACCTTCTTTGGTGAATGGATAACAAAGATGATCCCAGCATCAACGAAACCAAGGGCTGGGTTATCAGTGAATGCCTCCTGAAACAAAAATATGTTTTTGCCCAAATTGCAAATTGACTATATCAGTTCTAAACAAGTTTAGGATTTAGTTTTATCATCTCATGATAGCGTTTGACTAATCCTAAATATTTTATGTTATATTTCTATCTCTTTTTGTCTAAAGTGTATGAAAATTAAAGACATACTTTAGTGGTTGAATCGGTGAAAGGAAACTATCTTGGGTCCCTTCAAGGTGGGGTCTACTCAGGACAGTCCTGAAATAATTGAGGCTTGTCTCATCATTTTTCTTGATTGATGTCTGGTAACCACAAAGGGATCCTGAGTGAAGCTGACCTGGCCTGCAGCAGCTAGCCTATCAGTGCTTGGTACCAGCTTGGGCACCTTATAGCCCAAACCAATAGGACGATTGCTGAACTCCAGGAACTCTTTCCTCCAGGGATCCCTGATCTTCCATTGTTTTTCATTTGGGGGTCTGAGGTTCATTCGCTATTAAAAAAACAAAAAACAAACAAACAAAAAAAACTCCTTTTTTTGTGGGAGTTTCCACTGCATCCACCAAGGAATGTGAACCTACCTGCTTCTGCATCGGCAGAGAGCAGTTTTCAGCTTGGGCCCCATCACTAGGTAAGAAAACTGGTTTGGGATTCTTTCTTGCAAATTCTTTTTAAAGAACTAAAGTTAGCATTAACAACCAGCTGATGTTAATTTCTGCTTACACTTAGAGCGCTCAGAAATCATATAATTTGTGTGATCACTGTTAGTTTTGCTTAACTGTTTTGTTGTTTGTTTCTCTCTTGTGGGGTTGTGTGTGTGTGTGTTTTGGTTCTTTCTCTCATTGGATTTGACCAACTCAGAACCCTCTAGCTCATGAGTATAGAATTTTCCACTCCAAAGAAATAAAGCACCTTGCTCCCCTAAGCCTTTTGGGGCATTCTCATGTGACTGAGAATCACATGGGGGTGTCTGGGAGGAATGCTCCCTAAAATGTGCAGTGGCTCTAAATAAGTATCCCCCTCAGAAGAATATACTTAGGGTCTAATCTCAGCTGGCAGGTGCATGTTAGGAGCCAACCCCTGCTGCATCTTGAGCACCTAACACACTGTGCCAGGTAGCTGCAACACAGGACGACCAATCTTGTTCAGGGATAACAGCCCTGAAAAGCTAAGTCTGCTAGCAGCACATTTTGGGTCCAACACGTGTCCCAACTTGGTCAAATCCAAAGGGGAACTCTAAACTATGGGGAACAAGGCCTCTGAAGTGGAAAGAAAACAGCAATCAAGAGGAAAAAAAAAGGAAAGATTTTTTATTTTGACTACTAAAGGGGCTTTATTTACATAACAAAGCCACCTTTTTATCAGCCAGACCAAACTGAAAGAGCAATGGCTGCACTTCTGAAATATGGTAATGAGGTCTAAAAAGAATTTTTTTAAAGAAGCTCAGTGTTTCAAAGTCAACTTAATTAAAAGATTAACATCCAAGATGTGTGTGTGTATGTGTGCATGTGTGCATGTTTGTATTTAAAAGGCCTTCAGGTTTTTGTGGGTTTTTTTTTTGTTTTTCTCTCCTAAGACTTTGTCTTTTTTTTGAGCAAAAGTTTTTTTTTTCCTTCAGTTGACTGAATTCCGTTTTCACCTGATCTTTTGACTAAAATAGTTATTGCAACAGAGGCTAATCTTGGGTTTTTAAGGAAGAGTGTAGTTAAGACACTCAGAAATATCTTTGTTAAAAAAAAATTTAAGTGCACTCTGAAAGCATCACAGGGTCTAACCTCAAAATAATTCTACCGTTTTTTGGAGACCCAGGATTCAATGTGAGCTCTGCCCAGAGCTTAGAGATCCAGTTAAAATATAGGTAGTCCCTATCTAAATAAGATTGGTCTCCTTATACAATATTATGATAGAGTTCTATAATTTTATGTTAGATTTGGCTCAAAGAAAAATAAAAGCATCTCCCTCTAGCACCAACAGACTTTTTCTCTCTGTACCTTATGATATAAAGTTTGCTATTTTATTTTCACCTGAGTTGTTTCCTATAATAAGCAAATTTAAGGCTATTTAGCTAACAACTGCCTAGGGTTGTAAAACAGGTTATCAAGAATCTGAATGTCTAAGATAGGAAAAAAATAATAAAAGGGTCTTTATGAATCTATAAAATGTACCTTTATTGGCATACCTAATATGTCTATGTATTTATATGTCATATACACAATATTTCACTACAGAAAATATATAAAAGGGCTCTAATTAATTGGCTTAAAGAAAAATAAAAGTGTTTAAATCATATATTTTATCAGGAAAAAAGAAAAGACAGTTCAAATTCTTTTTCAAGTTTATGTAACTTAAGTAAAATCTTTAATAGAAAAGCTAGCTTTAAAATTACTAGTAAAGTAATATCAGAAATGTCTTAAGAATTGCCAGCATACTTTTTTTGTTTATGTTTATTAATCAGGCTATTTCAACTTATCCCTGCCAAACACTATAAAATGTCAAAATTTGGCATAGAGATTACAAAACTGTAAACCCAGCCCCAAACAGAATGATCATTACTTGTGTAGTTTTTAATAAATAAGACATTGATATTGGTTTAATGAAAATAGCTGCATCTTAAATTTTCAAAATTACCATAATTTCTAATCTTGTGGCTTTAGGCAGCCTAGTCCACAGGCAGTAAGGAGGTTTGTTTGGGAAAGGACTGCTATTGTCTTTGTTTCAAACCTAAACTATAAACTCAGTTCCTCCCAAAGTCCAGGAATGAACAAGGACAGCTTGGAGGTTAGAAGCAAGATGGAGTCAATTAGGTCGTATCTTTTTCACTGCCTCAGTTTTATTTTTGCAATGGCAGTTTCATAACTTTAAATCATGACTATCGTAGTTTTCCTAAATAATCTAGGTGAACAATTAAAATAAAATAGTTAGGTAAGGGATAAATACTTGTAGACAAACATGTCGTAACTTAGAATATAAAGTTATATTCAGTTAAATAATAGATATTTCATTATGTGGGTATTTTCCAATAAATATATATTATAGAAAAACATTCTTGCTAAAAAAAAGTGTGTCCTTTATAAAAAAACATAAACAAATTTTGTCTAATTCAAAGCTTATCTAAAGGTTATGTATAAAACAAGGTAAGAAGAACAAGCAAACAAAAAGAGATGTAAAGAAAGCTATAAAAATAAGGAGGTTTTTTTGTGGTAAGACAGCTTAAAGAGAAATAATATGGTAAATTTAGTCCTAAAATAAAATGACTGGTTGTTTAAGAAAGGAGAAGTGTTCAGGTCAAACCAGAAAGTTCAAGCATGTCATTAATAGTCAGTGTAAGTCACAATAAGGATTTATTTTTTAAAAAACCAAAAACTTTAATATGATCAAGTTGTCACATTATTATTAAGTGTTGGTTTGCTTAGGAAAAAAACTGAGATAAAAATTTTTGTTTTCAAATTAAGGTTATTACATCCATGTATCTTCCTGTATGTGCTTTTAAAGTCCTTGTGACATTAAGTTACAGGGCTTTGACTCCAGGGTCTAAAAAGGATACCAAGTCCTACTAAATCTTAAACACTAACAGCAATTAAATCCTCATCTTCAGGCCCCACAGCAGATTCCAATAAAAATAAAATGCATTCCTGGCCAGGCACAGGAATTCACACCTGTAATCCCAGCATTTTGGGAGGCTGAGCAGGTGGATCACCTGAGGTCAGGAGTTCCAGACCAGCCTGGCCAATATGGTGAAACCCCATCTCTACTAAAAATACAAAAAATCAGCTGGGCATGGTGGCGCATGCCTGTAGTCCCAGCTACCTGGGAGGCTGAGGTATGAGAATCACTTGAACCCAGTCAGCGGAAGTTGCAGTGAGCCAAGATCATGTCACTGCACTCCAGCTTAGGTGACAGAGTGAGACTCTGTCTCAGTAAAAAAAATAAATAAATAAATAAAATGCATTTTTGAGATGTGGGGCCAGAAATTAAAGCCATTCAACTCCTCGAGGCCTAGGGACTATTGAGGAAGAGGTGGGCATGTGAGATTGCAATGGGCGATATTAAAAGACAAAATAAGTTCAGTTTCTCTATAAATTAATCACGACTGTCAAAGGCACAATGATGCAAGACCAGCATATGGACTCCTGTGTCAGATTAACAAGGTTTTCTTGAAGCATTAACTAACTCCTTAATAAAGATCATAAAGGTTATAAAAGGCTTATGGAAGTTATATTTTATGGTCAAGATTAAATTTTATAGATTGTTTACAAAATTTTGGAAAACAAATTTAATTGGCTTCATGCTGTTTTTATTAGGGCTTCTTATTTGGAAAATTAAGTCTCCTCTCTCAAAGAATGAAGTTTTTTTCTTTTTTTAAAAAAAAATCCTTGAGTTATCACTTTGGTTAAATGAATGACTTTACAATAACCTGTAATCCTATTTCATAATATCAAGTATTTTACACCTTTGATATTTGAAGATCTTTCTAAAATCAAATTATAAATTATGTCTTTTTCTGACCTAATTAATCCTTTAAGATATTAGTTTCCCTAAAGTCCAAAAATGACATAATTTGGCTTACTTGGTATAAAATTATACAGGAAGCATTGTCAAATATGAAATGGTGTTTGGTTTTATTTGGGCTGTATTTATGTAAATGTTATTGGTAAGTGTTCCAGAATTAATGGAAAGGCCTGTAATTCTGATATGACTTAGTGTACATTATCAATAATAATAATAATTGTTATGTTAAAATTATTGTGTACCACTGAGGTAACAAATTTCCTTGTCAATTGTGTCTTTGACTATGTCTGCCCTAAAACCTTTTTTCATCCAAGGACAATTGTGCTCATGTTTTGGTCCTCTTTAGAAGGTGTTTTTATAATCAGCTACAAAACTCTAACAGGTGCCCTTAAATGCAGGTTTCTGATAACTTTGGAGATTGTAACATCAGAAAAGAGGAAAAACTTTCAGGACTCATGGAGAGCTAAAATGTTCATGAGTATTAAACAGAACAGGAATTAACTGCATGGACTCAAATAATCTTTTTTACTTTTTACTTAAAATGTTTGCTGATCCTTTGTTTTGTTTTTCAGAGTCTTAAAACTTTTATTTTGAGCTACAATTTAGAATACTCCTATGAACAAAACGTGGAGCATACTTTATCCTGTCTGCCTGATTTCTCCAGAATTTGGAAACTATTTGTGGATATTCTTAACTTGTGGCAATACAGTTATTTGCATAAGTGCAATAAGAATCTGTTTTCACTTGTAACAGGACACAATTGGAGAAACTGGTTATTTTACCAAGGCTTTTACTGGAATGGTGTGCTTTCCTTTAAGGAATCAAACTTGGCTTATGAAACCAATAATGTCCTTGGAAAAACTGACCTCATATTTTGTGTACAGAGTCCCTGTACAGGGTTTCTGACCTGTGGTAAGTAAAGAATGTCACTTTCTGACAGGCCCAGAAGCTCCAAGTTTATCTTGGAACCTCGAGTGGCGAGGAGATTCACCCAACTCATAGGTACTTGATGGCACAAATCTACGGCTGGGCTCGGCTTTTAAAAAGTCTTATCTGACATTCCTTCTATGGAACAAAGTTCCACCAAAGGCAATTTAAAAGCCTATGTAAAAAATAACTATTCTTGGTGCACTGTATACAAATAATTTGGCAAAGTAAAATAAAGCAAACTAGTCCTAACATGATTTGTCTTTAGCAAAAATGGGAAATTTTATGTCCTAATTAATCCTTTAGTTAGGATTAGAGAAGAGAGAAAAATTATGTTTCCAAAACTAGGGTACACCTGTTGTTAGATTCTAGTCTTGCCCAGTGTTTTTCAATTTTTATTATTTTCTACAGTTTGGACCAAATTCTATTTTTTCTTGGCTACAAGCCTTCAAAATAATGTTTTCAATTTTTTTCTTTTTTTTCCCCCATATTTCCTAATTTGGAGTCACTGAAAACTAAGCTGTGCTTTCTTAAAGTCCGGCAAACTGAAGCCAGTCAACTTAAACTTTAGAAGAAAGTAACTGCAGCCTATTTACATACATAAGCCACTTTTCATACCTGCCTACTGATGTACGGACTTCAAAGTAACATGGCCTATATGAATATTTCCAGTATTGTTCTTTTTTTTGCTGTTGTTTTTCTCCCTTCCTCCCACTATTTTCTCTTCATAGAACATGAGACTTTGCAATCTGCTAAAAATAAGCTTTTGGGACCTACCCATCTAGTAATAAACCATCCTAACCATGAGAAATCAGATGAAAACTGAGACCAGAGACTCATATTCTCCTAAAATGCTTTCTCCTAAAGATTTTTTTTTTAAAGGGAGCAGGGGAATGGGAAAGGAAATTATCTTGGGCTCTGTCAAACTGGGAGCTGCCTCCCATTCTATTTAAAGTTATTCCTTTGCTCACTGAGATGAATGCCTATTCTGATTGCCTCCTTTGGAAAGGTCAATCAGAAACTCAAAAAAAATGCAACCATTTGTCTCTCACCTACCTATGACCTTGAAGCCTCCTCCCTGCTTCAAGTTGTCCCCACCTTTCTGGATAAAACCAATGTATGTCTTAGATATATTAATTGATGTCTCATGTCTTCCTAAAATGTATAAAACCAAGTTGTGCCCTGACTACCCCGGACTACCTCAGGACTTCCTGAGGCTGTGTCATGGGTGCCTGTTCTTAACTTTGGCAAATAAACTTTCTAAAATGATTGAGACTTGTCTCACCGTTTTTCTCAATTGACATTCATTGCTTAAGACCTCTATAGTTTTCCATGGATCACATTTCACCTTAGATAGGTGCAGGTAAGTATTTACAATTACTGTTAATGATCTTGTTCCCTCTGGCCTTCTCTTCACCTAGTTGCCTTTTAGTTGCTTCCCTCTTGGCTGTTTTCTTTGACTCATTTGCTTAGAAAATCATTTGGCCCTCTTCATTTTGCAATTAAAATCCCTGCCCTTATGTTAAATTCAAATTCATTTTCCCATAAGAGTGAAGATTTACACTATTTCTTTAACACTAATGTTCTTTTTAATAAATCTTTTGTCAGATGAAGAAATTTAAGAGTAAACTTCTGGTGGCTGTCATTAGTTGTAATTTTAGGCTATAAGAAGAAGGCACAGTCTTAAGAATATAAATATAAAGAATATCGTCTATGAATGGATCAACTGCCTATGTAATTACATTTAACAAACATACTAAATATTCTATTTGTAATTCAAAACTCTATTTCTCCTGGCCCTTTTGTAACCCTCTAAGAAACACTTAACTGTCTAGTCTGGAGAAATATCTAAATGTTATTTACCTATGGAACATTGCATTGAATTTGTAGATGTTCATTGCATTCTAAAAATATTTGGAAAATTCTAGTTTGTAAAAATTGATAATATAATGTTCGAACTGACCATAGGGCTAATATTTGAATGACTCGAAAGTATTAATCAAATACATTACAAGTATATGTAGGTACATGCATTAAAGTTTGCAGTGTTATGTTTGGACGTAAAGAAAAATATCTTGAATGGGATACAAAAGGAAGCTATGAAGAGTACATTACTGGAAATTCTTTAAAAGTAGCCAATGGCATGATTCACTTGGATTGGGAGGTGAATGCAGGAACATCAATTTTACTTTTCATCTTTGTCATTAATTGTATGATTTTGGATACTTAATCCATCAGCATTTTACAATCCTCTTTTATAAAACCATAATAATAAAGTAGAATGCCTTAAAATGTGTAATACTAGAAGTAGTTATTTAAACAAAAGGTCAGAATTAACTAATCTTGGGTGGGAGCTATACTAGGAACCCTTGAAGAAAACACCACTGCATTTCTTAGGTGTTTGAACATCTGCCTCCCAGGACTAAACACTTAGAACTTATTAGGTCAATTTCAGCTTTCCAAAAGCTGGGCTTGGACAAAATCTATTTATATAATATTCTTTATATAACCATTATGTTTTCCATCACTTTTCCAGATATGCATTCTATAGTTTGTCAAATGTGTATGTAGAGTTTCTTTCTAAAACGTGATATTTACATAAACGTATTTCTAAAATTATTGTTCAATGCAAAGAGTTCTCTTAAAATAGCTACATACATTGCAACTTAGAATCTCTGGGTTTTCTTATTTTGTGGCATGAACATTCCCTGGAGTCAATAATTTAAGTCAGTAGGATAGCTAAAAATCTCCAGTTTATGCCTCAAAATTTTGCCTGTTTAATTTCTAAGCCAGTAGTTATATAAAATCCATAGGAGTCTAGACTAAATTAACAAAAACTGAAATAATATCCAATGTGTGGGAACTATCTGATATGGCCCAATAGTCTGATCAAGTTTTTGAAACCCCCACACATTCTCGTTTGTCTTGAACCTGGAGAAAATTCAGTACCTGATTCACATTGAAGAGTAAGCTCAAACCTCTTCCAGAGACACTCACTTTTCTCTTTGCTTGGAGAGTTTCACCATGATTAAAAGTAAAACAATTTCCATATTCAGTGAAGACATGTGCAAAATCCTCCAATATGTAAATGAACCAAAAAAAACCATCAATTTGATATTTTTGTCACTTCTCAAGTTTGCCATAACCTTTTTTTTTAAAGCACAAATACCTAACAAGACTGCAGAAATATCAGAGAGAATAGTCTGATTTATATGTGTATTCAGTGATAGTTTTTTTTTTTTGGTAATATGCATTCGTCAATTTGCATGTGATTATTTAAAGGAGACATTTTCATATAAAATTAAGCATGTATTTAAAACATTTAAAAAAATTACTTGTTTAATGTTTTCCTGAAGATGTATGGAAACATGTTTTTATCTGTGGAGCACTACTTCAGCATCCTTTCTTGGAGGAGCTATGCCTAATGTAACCTGTATGGTCACAGTGTGGCAGTCAATCACATGACCCTTTTACTCTCCTTTTACCCTCCTTTTCCAACCACTACAGAGGTGTGCATGGGACACAAGCTGGGCCAAGCTTAAACCTCACCTTCTTGCCTCAGTGGTTGGTTCAAGAATTGATATGTGTCCCAAGTGGAGCTAATTAGAGTCTTTGGTGAGATTATTAAGTGGATACTGGAGTGCTAAACTCTGATAATGAGTCTAGGGGGAGTCAGCAGCCATTTTGGTGAGGTGTGGGGAGAACTGATACAGAAAGAAGCCAACCAGAATTATGAGATGGAAACAAAGTCAGAATCTTAAAGACAGTCTTGGAGTCCGTTGGTTCAGCATTTTTTGAAGCCAGACCTACTGTTGGAGTTCCTGCTTAATTAAGCCAATTCATTACTTTTAGTCTTCAGTTTACTAGAACAGAAATGGGTTTCTGTAATATGCAACTGAAAAAATTCTCTAACATGAAATTTTTTGTTGGTAAGTTAAACTTGTTGGTGAATAAAAACAGCATAAGAAAGCTTACTTTCCAAGTTAAGAGTTTAGGCCAGAACCTCACCTCTGTGAAATGTCTCTCAGGCATTTTTTTCTGCTTACTGTGTGCTAAGGCGGCCTACCAAAAACATAAGAAATTGTATTGAAGAACAAAGAATTTGTGTTTACTTAGGTTCCCCTAACAACACAGGCTACAGAATTGCTGATACGGGAAATACGGCATCAAATTGCCTGTATAGTTCTTTATTAATAGATTACAGATAGATCTAGTACTTTATCTTAAATGTAGATTAATTTTATAAACAATAATAACAGGATTTTGTATTTGTTATGTATTTGTTTTGTATTTGTTATGAGTGAATGTTTATTATATATAATATATACTAGTTATTA
Source organism: Homo sapiens (assembly GCF_000001405.40). Classification (NCBI taxonomy): domain Eukaryota; kingdom Metazoa; phylum Chordata; class Mammalia; order Primates; family Hominidae; genus Homo; species Homo sapiens. The sequence continues at coordinate 18,202 of NW_003315914.1, forward strand.
TATATAATATATAATATATACTAGTTATTATATATAATATATAATATATAATAATAATATATAAATTTTTCATAGTTAAATGCTGGGATCCTCTTATTTTCTATAGTCTCTAATGCAATACCATAAGCATATATGCAGAGTGATGGATATTTGGTGATTATAAAAATACTATGTTGGAATAGGTTGTTTGTTGATGAATGAAAAAAATTAAAATATCCTCTTGTGTTAAATTGTTTTTCTTTTGGAAGGACTATACTACAAGAAAGGCAATCAAGTTTTCTCTTTTCTATCTTTCCTTATCTAACTGCTTGAAAGAGGAAATTTGTCTCATGTGTATTCCATACCCCTGATATCATAAGGCTGAGCTAATGAAATAGAATCTGTAAGCAAATTTGGATTGATTCACCATGGGAGTAAATGCCGTGGGAGCTCAATGTGAAACAGTGCAGTAACGGAACTTATTACTTTGATTATATTTGAAGAATAGAAAATCGTTACCTTTGGGCTACATGGCTTTCCAAAAAACTCACAGTCCAACAAAGTGCTATTGTTGAGATAAAAACCTTTGTTCCTGATAAATTCCACAATGCTGAAGTTTTGGTGACTTGCAGCAAAATCAGTAGCCTCTCTAGAGCCAGTGGAATTGGCAGTAATTTCTTGAAGATGGAGGACTTTGGATACAATGTGCCATAAGAAAAAAATAACACCAAATTTGGCTACAGCATCTGTTTGGAACCTATTAGCAGGAATGAAGGCAATAGTTAGAATAATGAAAACTTATAATTATCTGGAAGACAGATACCAACATCTAGATTCTATTAGCTTCTTCTTATCTCCCACACTCTCCCTTATTTGCAAGACATTTAAGCAAAATTTGATGCCTAAGAAGTCTTTGACCCATTGTGCAATTAATCTTGTATTTGCACATGTAGTTTCATTTACCTAGAATATTCCCCAGACCTTGATCTGGATGACACCTAATGGATCTTCAAGATTCAATTTAAAGGAAGAGGAGGGAATATATAGTTGTTAAAAATGCATTTAGGAGCCAGATTTCCTGTGTGTGGCCTTGTCCTGTGTCAGCTTAGCTAAATTAGAACTGCATTTCCCAGCATTCCCATCCTTGTATATATGTGAGTTTCACTGTCGTGCAGGAGCTGTGGTAGCTCACCCACACTGCAATCCATCTGCTGACTCAACTTGCTAGTATCGGGCAGCAGCCAGGACCACAGCTCCTCCAGCTCCTTTGTGACCTTTTCCTTCAGCTTCTTCAAATACTGGGTTAGGTAAGAGTGCGACCTGGTAAAGATGACAGCTATCCTGCAGGTCATTCACACCATCAAGATTGGAGGTAGTGAAAAAGAGACCTACATTTTGAGCTTGTATTTGTTTCCCCGACTTCATATCCATTTTCCCTTCCTGCTGGCCCTGCTTACTTCAGCCCCAGCACAAAGAACAGGCGAAAGACTTACAAAGACTGCTTAACCAGCTCCTGCAACGAAGTGGGGCTTAATCCCTAGAAAAAAAGCCCTTTATTCTGTCATTCATGGTGATTCTGTTTCTCCAGTTAGGTTCTAATTGTTACAGCCACTTGATGGTATGACTTAGCAAATTTTTTTTTCATTTCCCTCTGACTTAAGTTTCCTCTCTTGTAAAATCTGTATAACCTACCTCAAAGTGTTCTTTTAATGATTACATTAATTGTTTTTCTTAAAATTTTTAGACACCTGCCTGGAATATAGTGAGTGTTAGGTAAGTACTTATTAAATAAATGATTCATTCTGGCCACCAAAGCAGAAGTAATCTATTTAACTTAACGACTGTATCACTTTCTAATTCTCTTATCTTGCCGGGCAATTTTGTTCTGCATTCCATATGGTTCTTCATTTGCATGCCTTCCATTCCTTTACAAACATGATGAGGACTTTCATATTTTAGATATTATAAATTTTGAAACTGAACAAATGTTCTCTCTTTAAATTGACTGCTAAAGGCATAGAACGGAATGCATATTCCACTCTTGGTAAGTATATGGTGTATGTGGTTTGTATGTCATACCTGAACCTCCTTTGTGTCCCAGATTTTATTTCTATTTTGCTTTATATTATATTATCTTATTTAATATATAAATATATATCTATATGTGTGTGTATATATATACATATATATAAAGAGAGAAGAAAATAAAAATATTTACTCTAAAAGACATTTTTTGACATATTTTGAAATGGCTGCTGCAGGGTCAGCTAACGGAAGTGGCCTTGCAAAGCTGTCTTTTATGTGGAAAATTTGCATCTGTAGAAAACGTCCATTAATGCAGCCGGGCCTCCTCTTGCTAGGCATTTGCTAGGTATAGGAGAGATTGAGATTCTGACACCTTTAAAAGTCTAAAAATAAACATTTGCCATCTTGTCTCTCTGAAGAAGTCTTCATCTATATAACAAGGTCACCTTTGCTAGTCAAGCCTCTTCCTTTCTCCCTACTATAACCTGTATAACCTGTCTTGGTGTTAAAACCTGCTTTCAGTAATGTTCTGAGCCCACATTCTTTCTATAATCTCAAGATGATAAATAAGCCTCTGTATCCGGTTGGGATGTTGGGCTTTATTCTGAAGGCTCATGTGTATACACATTAAATATCATTGTAAGCCTTTTCTTCTATTAATAAATCTGCCTCATGTCACTAATTTTTCAGCCTATCTTTAGGGGGCCAACACCCATGGCCCCCACAATGTATACATATAATTTTTCTTTCAAATTCAAGCCATATTAAATCCTTTCTCAGTCAAGGTAGGGCATACACAAAACACAAAAATGGAGAAACAACCTCAAGCCAACATTACATACTCTTTAAGAGATGAAAAACTGTTTTCACAGTCAATAACTAATATTGTAGCTTGCTTAACTAGCTCTGATACTTGCAAAGCTAGCCCAGGTCCTAAAACTCTGTAAATATCCTCCTCGGACTTCCTGATTCCAAGGCACTATTGGTCATCTGTCATGGTGGTATTCTGTCTAACTACAGTACATCTAATAACCTTGCATTTCTTGGTCAAAAGTATTTCTTGGATCATTAAGGAATTAAGAGTTTACATCAGGAACAGATTTTGGCAGAAGTACAGTGTAAACCCTATATTGAGAGATGGACCTCCAAGCTACTTCAGGTTTCCAACTCCCAGTGACAGACAGGTTCCCAACAATCTGCTCCAAAACCCTACAACTGTGAAATCCTGCACAGTCAGAGCCAGTATTCCCTGAATATATTCATTGGATTATATTCAAAATGATTATGCAGAGAAATAAAGGAATTACTATACATATGGGAGCAATGAATACAATCTACAAAAAAGTTAAATAGGAGGGCATCTTAAAATATTTTTAAGCTTTTTTTATTATACTAATAATATTTGAGACCATGAGAGTAATTTATATAGATTAATTAAATTTAATAAATAAAGCCTAACAATATTAAGCCAAGGAAGAAAATTTTTTGTGAGAAATATTGTTTTGCATAAAACAAAAGTGTTTTGCACTGAGTTTATTTTCAATTTTATTTTATTTTTTGAGACAGAGTCTCAATTTGTTGCCCAGGTTGGAGTGCAGAGGCACAAACATGGTTCATTGCAGCCTTGACCTTCTGGGCTCAAGCAATCCTCCCACTTCAGCCCCCCACATAGCTGGAACTACAGGTGTACACCACCATGCCCAGCTAATTTTTGTATTTTTTGTAGAGACAGAGTTTTACCATGTTGCCTGGCCTGGTCTCAAACTCCTGAGCTCAAGCAATCTGCCTACCTTGGCCTCCCAAAGTGCTGGGATTATAGGCACTAGCCACTGTGTCTGGCTTATTTTTAATTTTAAATTGAACTTCAAAACTCTTCTAAGTTTTCCTTTCAAAAACCTTGCTTAGCTAGAATTTGACTTACTCTAATTTAACACAACTGGTAAGAGCCTAGTAGAAGAAAATAACACCAAAAATATATTAATTTGTTTAAACAATTTAACATCTGCTAACCAGTTATTAGATATGTCTTTCTTATGTATATCAATGGTTCTAAATGTACTTCTCCAAGTTATATGACCCAAATGAGTAAGTTTCATCTAAAATCCAAGTTGATGCCTGACTCAGGCCTTATTTGAGTCCTGCCAAAACAGATCCATTTCTCGTACATTTTACAGATGATTTTATGAAGAAGGAAAATGAGGAATAATGTCTGCCTTTTGTATTCTTCTTTGAGCAAATTTTAATGTCTTACCATTCTTTAATTAACTAATGAAACCTTTGTTGTGTCTTTATATTTGTATGAGAAGCAATGATTTTACCTTTGGTTAAAAATGCTTGAGCAATTTTTTCTTGCATCAAACAAATTTGAAATAAACAAAGAATCACAGTGATTATAAACATGAAGACCCAATATACGAGTTACTCATAAACAATGGATCAAATAGCATCAGTAGTCACTACATCCAATTATTATTTCTGATTTTAGTGGAAGAAAATAAAATTCTGAAGTTTTTACCAAATGAATATAAATTTTTGATGAATTTTGTTATAAAGATATTTTAGTGAAAATTTTAGACACAAAGACATTTGAAAAGCACTAGAATTGATACCAAAGAACCAAGTCACAAACAGTATTACAATTTCTGGAATTTTTTGTGAAATGTGACTTTTTATGAATTTCTGCCAATTGTATTCTTAGGAGTTTGTCTTTCTGTTTGTATAACCATTGCTTCATGTGAAAGAAACTTTTGAAAATTAAAATTAATAAGTATTCTTTAATCAATTACAAGTAAAACTAGACTAATATGGCTGTGCTATGGAACATCAATACATGGATAAAGTTAATTTTGATGAAGTCGTTGACAAATATTCATAAAGAGGCTAAAAAATGGAAATACAATGCTATTATTCATTTCTGTGTAAAACTAAAGAAAATGTCTGAGGGGAGCCCCAATCATTTTAGAGGTTTATTTTGCTAAGGTTGAGGATGAACCTGGGGAAAAGAAACAAAATCACAGAAATATCTGTGATCCATGCTTTTTCCTAAGAGGGTTTGGAGACACAATATTTAAAGCGGAAAGCGTGGGCAGTAGGGGAAAAAGGAAAGAACAAAAAGGGGAGGGTGGATAATAAAGGCAAGCAGTTGCATTCTTTTGAAGCTTTGATCAATTTCACTGAATTTACATTTTACCTGTGAAAGGAGTGGGTAGTAGAATAGTCAACTATGTGTTTGTCTGGTGCTCAGTGAATCTTCATTTTTATATAGGATAAAGTAAACATAGACCAGAGGAAGAAGTCAAATACGCATTTGCCTCAGGTGAGTAGAGGGATGACTTCTAGTTCTATATTTGTCCTGTACCTGTGAAGATAAGCTGTTGATTTATATTCTCAGGGTGAAATTCAGTACAACTTCATTTTACAGTAAGGATCTTGGGGCCCGCAGGAGATTTTCTGTGAGAAAATTGTAAGAGAGGGCCCCTGAGAAGGTATGTGCCTTCTATCTTTGCAGTTATCTATTTAGGAACAAAATGGGAAGCAGTTGTGTGTGACGCAGTTCCCAAGCTTAACTTTTCCCTTTGGCATCGTGAGTTGGGGGTCCTGAGATTTTATTTTACTTTCACAACTGGAACAGATTTTAAAAACTTTAAAAAACAAAAATATGTCAGTGTCCAAAAAGTATTAATGCATTACTTTTTCTTATTTTTGTATTGTTTATTTTATTTTTTAACATTTTTATTGACATGAATATATAGGCCATTTTCATTATTTGTTTGATTTCATGACTATTACCAAAAAAATTTTGTCATATAGAGGAGGGAAGTATTAAAAAGGGATCTCTGACATACACTTGGTATAGGGTCCTGGTACCAATTGTGAAAAGTAAACCCTTTCTTATAATCCAAAGTCACTTGGCAAAGTTTCTTCATCTCAGGTGTCCATTTTCTACTCACAAGGTGGTTAAACAAAAAAAGTATAGAAATTGGGATCTATCAGCAGACCTGTCCAGTTTCTAACTTGGTAAACTCTAATTAAATTACAGTGTTAAGCTTTACTTTTTTTTCAAAAGAATTAGAGAAAATGCAACTTAGAACAATGGGCTTCAAACTAGAATGTGCCTATGTCTGAGTGTTCTCCTGCACAGAGAATTTTAAGGAAATAAATGTTTCCATCCTCTTTTTACAATGGTTCTTCTCCCATATATAGAAAAGTATTAACTTGTCACCCATCACAAATCTTAACACAGAATGCATACTGGTGTGTAACAACCTCAGGGCTCCTAACATAGGAATACAAATTGTATTTTGCTTCAGGGGAAGACTCCTTTAAAAATTAATCAAAGCTCCTAAAATCTTGTCTTGGCTTGTCATACACATATTTGTAGCTAGAGTGAAGTTCTGCGTTAGACACAGGGTATTTGGCCCTTGCTTAAGACTGAATTGACAAAGTCTTAAGTAGAATAATGAAAGTTGTTATTTTAAATGTAACTAGACTATTTGTTAAGGCTTCCACATTTTGGGTTATTTGAATATAATCCACAGATAAAAATTTAAATGATTTCTACTGGTGTATTTTAGTCAATAAAGCAGTTAAAATTTCATGAAAATATATGAAATGTTTATTCCTATTACAGTAAATCCTTATCCTATTTTATCTCATAAATATAATGATATATAATACTTATGTTTGTGATAATATAATTTGATATAAAATACAATATTTTTCACCTCCTAAAAATAATAAATAAATATACTTAGGGTTATGGCTAAAAATGTAGACATATGCAAGTTAAATACACAGTTTTTCAAATTTTTTATATAGCACATTAACTAAAATATTTGAAGATCATTGGCTCTGAGAACTAGAAAATAGCTTGAGTACTTTTCCTGATCTGTCATTAATTTGCTGAGCAATGCTGAGTATAATGTTTAAAGTGGGAATCCAAATTATCTTTCTGTAAAATTATACTTTGGGAGCTGGAGATACCTTTCATGCCTGTAAACTGATATTGTCTTAATTTTTTGTTCCCTAAGGAAGAATAATTTTCTTATAATTAAGAATTTTCCTGTTCTATCATTATAGCCTCTAAAATATTAAATCTTCTTTTGTTGGTCTGGATACTTATATCTAACTGAACTAGGATATATTATCTTTTTTTCAATGTCATCTAACACAAAAGCTGTAATCATTGATTTGAGATTTGAGCTATGCAAAATGGATTAGGTTTCCATACCCAAAATTATAAAAGTACTTAGATCATAGGCTATTAAGTATTTTTAGACTTCTTTTTCTTTTTAATTTAGCTGTTTACAGTTACAACTTTCCCTATAAGCACTGTTTTAGCTGCATCTCAAAAGTTTGGTATGTTGTGTCTTCATTTTCATTCATCTCAAAGTATTTTCTATTTTTTTTGTGATTTCTTCTTTGACTTCTTTGTTATTTAGGTGTGCATTGTTTAATATTTACATATTTGTGAATATCCCAAATTAATTTTGATTATTGACCTCTAATTTTATTCTATTGTGATTGATAAACATATTTGAATAATTTAAAATATTTTCCACCTACTTTACCTTGTATATGGCCTTGTATATGGTCCATTCTAAGAGAATGTGCCATGTGCACATGAGAAGAATGCATATTTTGCTATTGTTGAGTAGAGTGTTCTAAGGATGTTTGCAAAGTCTAGTAGGTTTATAAAGATGTTTAAGTCTTCTGTGTCTTCTATTTCCTTGTTTATTCTCTGTCAAGTTGTTCTATTGATTACTAAAAGTGGGGTATTGAAAAATCTAACTATATAGGTTAACTTATATCTCCTGATAGATTGATCATTTATTCAACATAAAATGACAATTTTTTATATCAGGTAACATATATTACTTTAAAGTCTATGTTGTCTGAGATTAGGATATCTACTCTAGCTTTCTGAAGGTTGACATACCTTTTTCCATTCTTTTACTTTTAACCCATTTGCATCTTCAAATCTAAATTGTGTCTCCTGCACACAACATATAGCTGGATCTTTCTAAAAAAATCCATTCTGATAACCTTTGCCTTTCAATTGGATTGTCTAATCCATTCTAATTTAATTTCATTAGTAATATAGTTAGATTTGCATCTGCCGTTTTACTTTTTGTTTTCTCTATGTCTTATGCCTTTTGTCCTAAGTATACCTTGGCTTGTGGCAAAACCTTATCAATTTCTGCTTCTATTTCACATGAATTTTCCCTGCTGTATCTCTGTGTGTTCTCTCTTCTCCTTATAAGAACTTCAGTCATTGGATTTAGGGCTCATCCTAGTGCAGTATAACCTCAACTTATGTAATTATATTTGTAATGACCCAATTTTAAAATATGATCATTCTGAGGTTCCAGTAGACTTGAATTTGAGGAGATACTATTTAAATGTTTCTTTTTTAAAAGAAAAGTTTGCCTTTTAAGATAAATATTTTTTCACCAGTTATGGTTGGTTTTGAAGGGGATAGAGTTTATGGACTTCCTCACTTTGCCATTCTGGAAGTAATATCTACATTTTATTTCAGTCAAGGATAACTGCAACCAATCTCTGTTTTTGTTAGAACACATGCTACTTAAAACAGTATGAAGCAATAGTATTGAAAATCATTTTTTGGGGGGAAAGGATTGATTTGTTTCGACTGTTAGGACCCTTGATACATATCTTGAGTTCTTGAAATATTGACAATCATACAAACGGGCTATAACATCTATTATATATTGAACACCTGTTCTAGAAGTCCCCCAGGAATGAAACACAATGGAGTACTTATTACCTTATCTAATGTAACAACAAATATGTGAAGTAGATGATATTATCTCATTTTATAAATATGAAAATTAACACTAAGAAGGCTGAGTGACTTCCCTAATAGCTAAGTGGTGAGTCTTAAGAAGCCCTCCCTTCCTCAGCAAAAATCCTATGTATGGTATTTCATGCTTCACCACAGGCAATTACAAAGCATTGTCTGGAAGCCTAGTGGTGGAAAGTTGTCCTCCTCTTAGCAGATTTGGTGTACAGTCAATGGACTGCAGGTTTCTGGAATGAGTTGCAGTCAAGGACTCAAGACACTGGCAGTAGAGCATTGAATCAAGTGTAACCCTTTTCTAAGCTCAGGGCTCTTTGCAGCCGCACTGATCACAGACCCGTGGAGCTGGCCTTGCCTCTACTACATTAAGTAGCTCATCATATGTACACCAGAACATTTTATATCGTTATGTGTTTGCAAAGTAGTTCCCTCTTCCATTTCTTCTTCATCTCCACTTAGAAAGCTGTAATCATCTTTTAATACCCAGATTTCCATAACACCCAAGATGGAGACTATTAATCTGTTCTGTGGGATTTCAGAGCCCTTGCACATTGTTTTATTTTGTTGTGCAATTACCATATTGCACTATGATTGTTGATGTTTCTCTTTTCTGCTAATTAATGAACTTCTAATATGCAGGGATCAAGACTTTACATCTGGCTGGGCACAGTGGCTCACATCTATAATTTCAGCACTTTGGGAGGCTGAGGCAGGTGGATCGCTTCAGCCTAGGAGTTTGAGAATAGTCTGGGCAATGTAGTGAAACCCCCATCTCTTTTACATCTATTTAATGATAGGATTTGGGATGTTACCTAGAATATGATTGTGGAAGGAAGGAAGAAAAGATGGAAAATAAGTGAAAGAAGAAATTAATGAATTCTTTGCTCCCTTAAATTTGTGCTTTTGAGTGCAATTTAAGTGCAATTTAATTCAGTGGTTTTACATATGATAAGTTCCACATGAGAAAACTCTTTGTCAGTCATCCAAGAAAGATTATACTAGCAAATTTATAGGAACTAATTATTTTTAAAAAAGTAATTTTTACCTGTTCAAATTACAAAATGTCACAGCTGGGAACTCCATCTTTTCCACATATTGAACCTCAATGGACGTTGTGGTTGGCCATGTGAAGTAGTTGAGCAAGCGAATGTAGATCTGCCATGTCACAAGTGAGACTGAGCCCAGAACCACCACCAACCAGAGCACCCTGCGAATTTTGCTCCGGTTCTGAACAATATTGTGTATCCCATGAAAGGAAGTGGAGATGGCAAAGTCATGGTCAAACTTCTTTCGCTCAGTGGGAGATGGCAGTGGTTTCTTTGAAAGGCAAAGCTTTATCTTTTCTAAGAGTCCTTAAGGTTTTGCCCATAAAATGATTAAACAAAAAAAAGTAATTAGGAAACCTTAATGCTATCCGTAAAAAAACACAACTCACATAATTTAAAGAGGTGACTCTTTTTACTTGTAATTCATAGAAACTAAAAATTCATCTTTTGTTGCATGATTTATTCAGGAATCAAGAAGTGTAAGTGTTGGCTACATGGGTTTATTGAGAAGATGCTAATGCTATTCATAGAACGGCTATTATTAATGTAAATGTGTTAGTGGTATGGTATTAATAGGTGACTTCCAGCTTTAAAACCAAGTTGGTTACAACAATTCATAAACTTTAAATATTAACTCTTATTTTTAAAATGCTCTTTCTCTCTGAAAGTCCTTTAGAAGTCATGAACAAAATGAGGCTGATTCCTCTGACAGTCCTAAGTATGGCTAAAAGTAATCTGTTCTTAACTAATGTTTGTCCTATGGTGGTATAATTTATGGTAAATGTAACTTTCATTCTCGTATTCTTTAATGTACAACTATTTTATATTTTGTTGGTTGTTTAGTCAGAATGTTCAGTGTTCAGTTGTAGTATTAGTTAAGTAATCTATTTTCTACCTCTTCATGGAATTAATTCATCATTTCAAGTCTATCAGGAATCAATCAATAATATTTATTGATATTCATTGGTAAGAACCAGGGAAGGTAACACTAAATTTTTTTGGCAATATATGATATGTTGACAATTTTATTTTGGTTAAATTTCTTTCCATTTGTTCATAGGAGAAGAGGCAATGAATCCCTTTGTGGAGGGAAAGGTTCAATATAGTTAAGAGCATGAGATGGGCTTCACAATGGAAGATCAGGCTTCCGGTCCATTCCTCGCCTCTTATAACCTGCACAACTTTAGCCAAGTTTCTTAGTCTTATACCTTTTCTGTCAAATGGCAGCAATGGTATCTGCCTTATGAATTTGTTGTATTAAATTTGTTGATAATACCTGGAGAGAGCTTAGCACATTATCTAGATCATAATAAGTACTCAAGGGTATTAGCTATTTTTATTATTCTGCTAATGTAGTGGTGATGTGGTAAATAGTAAAATATTCAGGAATTTTAAAAAGCTTTAAAAGTATCTTAAAAAATTAGTTCTTAATGGCTTTATATATGTTCATAATTAGGTGAATTAACTTTTATATCCTTTGCCAAAATAATACTTTTGGAATATAGGTATTCAACTATCCAGCATTAATTTACTTACAAGATGTTTCAAGCTTCATTTACTATTAAATCATTATTTAATACAACATAAATAACCAATCAATTAGCTAAGCTTTTTATTCAGTTATAGGACATATGCTATAAAAAGGTGTCTATTAACATTTTCTAAGGGAGTCCATTTCATTCACTTACAAATTATATTATTATTATTTTACAAATTATATTATGATTATTATTCACTAAGCAGGATAGCTTGTATTAATATGATTAGCTTGAAGTTGGACTAAAATCTTAGAATAGCACCGTTATTAATGTTGTTTTTAGTATAAAATTAATGAACATGTATCAAGTAACTGGCATAATCCCAGAGAAAAATCAGAAACAAGAAAAAAGTTATTGTTACTAATTAGCAAAATATATTTAAATATGCTCTTTTGTGTATTCTTTAGTCATGACTTGCAAACATATGCGAAGAATTTACTCTGATAAAAGAACAACTCAGTCTCTGGATAACTTGTACCATTCCTAGAATAGGGATCAAAACTATTAGAAGGGGAAGACTAATGTAGTAACTAGTTACTGACAAGCAAAGTGTGGCTAGTTGCAAGCATTACCCCAAAACATTTAACTTTCAAGTTTGCCTGTCAAAAATCAGCCCATTTAATATACATCTAATCCTTGACAATTGGTTTGGCCTTTCTGGAGTAATACCAACTATTTTCTAGTGTTTTAATAGAGTTTTTTTTATTATTGTTTTAGGTAAATGTATGACTGTCAGGAAGATTAAAATTGGTTGAATAAATGGCCCACTAGTTTGCAAAGCAGAAACTTCTTACTCTCCTGACTGGAGTATATACAGTGTCATTATGACAACTAGACCTTGCATTGAGTGCTGATCAACATAGAAGCATTTTGAGGAACATCAAATCAGCTTTGTTACATTTAAAAAATAAAACCTGCAGGCCCAGGATAAATAGAAACCAAAAGAAATAAAACAAAACAAAGAAACAAAATCAGATTCTGGCATATAGTAATATTTTAAAACTATTTTTGAGTCCCTCATACAAATAACTTTTTTTCTAAGTAAAACTATTCATTTTTAAAACTTATATTACTTATATTGTGTTCAAGTAACATTGGAAATCAAATTTCCCAAATGAAGAAAAAAAATCTCTCTTTTCTTACTTCTGGCCTCTAGAAATGAAAAATATTACTGCTCTGAGGAGTTCACTCTTTACTCACCGTTCTCAGCATATACTTTTGATTTTTCTGTCTGCTCCATTTGTGATTTCAGTTAAGCAAGAGTCCTCAGGGTAACCCAATTTTCATCAATAACAGTATTCATTTTGTGCCCTTTATATAAAATACAGCAGTTGAGGTTGTAAAACATGGAAGCAATTTAAATGTTTGTGTTGCTATGTTTTGCCTCATAAAGCACATAATCTGAAAACCAAAAATGTTGACAGAACCAGGTATGGGCATTTATGGACTGATGAGAAGCTAACCCAGAGTGATTTCATGAGTGAAAAGCAAAAAGTATCATTAGGAAACCATTTTCTCACAGTTAAAGGGACACTTCCTATCAAATATGTGTAGTTAAGCAGCAGCCCCTGACCAGGCTAGTTGACACTCCAATGACTCACCCGGGAACGTCTTCTTAGCTTTTCTTTTTACCTTTGTCTTTATTCAACTTCAAATCAAAACGCAGCTGGAATAAATTTTTTTTTATGGGAAAGGTGTCTTCCCTTGTCGGTGTTTCTTTCTTAGTAACAGAAGCTGTTTCTAACAGAAATAATAGCCAATAAACATGACAAAATAAAACACCAAAAAATATCTGCTCAAGAATAAATGATTACTGAAAACAAACAACTTACTAAAACATAAAGTCTGATTATTTTTTATATGAACACTTTTGGAAAATTGTTAGAATTTATTATATTGAATAATAAATGGAAGAATGTGCATTATTGTGCATAAAGGGCATCATCTCTTGACAGAATTCAGTGATTGCATGTATCTGTACCTAATAGAGCTTGTTAGACTCACCATTTTATAAGCATCTCACCATTAATCATCAGTATGATTACGTATATTTTGCATATATTTGGAAACTTGTAAACTCAGCACTATAAGTTCAAACTAGTCTTATACGGAGGCAAACTAATTCCAAGTGATGTAAGTAAGGAATCTGGCTAGAGGTCCTCAGTTATCACAGTAAAGATTTCAGGAATAGGATAAATTTCATGATATATGAATTTCTCCATTAAAGAGCTCTTCTTTAGGGTTAAATTATGTATTATTCTGTTCTCACACTGCTGATAAAGACATATTCAAGACTGGGTAATTTAGAAAGAGGTTTAATTGACTCACAGTTTCACATAGCTGGGAAGACCACGCAATCATGGTGGAAGGTGAAAGAGGAGCAAAGTTACATCTAACATGGAGGCAGGCAAGAGAGTTTGTGTAGGGGAACTTCCCTTCATAAAACTATCAGATCTCTTGAGACTGTTTCACTCTCATGAGAACAGCATGGGAAAGACCCGCCTCCATGATTCAATTAACTCTCACAGGGTCCCTCCCACAGAACATGGGAATTATGGAAGCTATAATTAAAGATGAGATTTGGGTGGGGACACAGTCAAATCATTTCATTCTGCCCCTAGCCCCTGCCAAATCTCATGTCTTCACATTGTTCAAAGCCAATCATGTCTTCCCAAAAGTGCCCCAAGTCTTAACCCATTTCAGCATTAACTCAAAATTTTGTAGTCCAAAGACTTACCTGAGACAAGGCAAGTCCCTTCTGTCTATGAGTGTGTAAAATCAAAAGCAAGTTAGTTACTTCCTAGATACAACGGAGTACAGGTATTAGGTAAATACACTCATTTCCAAATGAGAGAAATTGGCACAAATAAAAGGGCTATGGGGCCCATGCAAGTCTAAAATCCAATAGGGCAGTCATTAAGCTTTAAAGTTCCAAAATGATCTCCTTTGACTCCATGTCTCACATCCAGGTCATGCTGATGCAAGAGGTGGGCTCCCATGGCCTTGGGCAGCTCCAAACCCTGTGGCTTTGCAGGGTATAGCCCCCCTCCTGGATGCTTTCATGGGTTGGCATTGAGTGTCTGGAGCTTTTCCAGGTGCATGGTGCAAGCTATTGATGGAGCTAACATTCTGGGGTCTGGAGAACAGTGGCCCTCTTCTCACAGCCCTCTTCTCACTCTTTGTGGGGGCTCCAACCCCACATTTCCCTCCTGCACTGCCCTAGCAGAGGTTCTCCATGAGGGCCCTGCCCCTGTAGCACTCTTCTGCCTGAACATCCAGGTGTTTCCATATATCATCTGAAATCTAGGTGAAGGTTCCCAAATCTAAATTCTTGACTTCTGTGCACCTACATGCTCAACATCACATGGAAGCTGCCAAGGCTTTGGGCTTGCACCCTCTGAAGCCATGGCCTGAGTTGTACCTTGGCCCTTTTAGCCATGGCTGGAACAGCTGGGAAACAGGACACCAAGATCCTAAGCTGCTCATAGCAGGGGGACCCTGGTCCTGGCCCACAAAACCATTTTTTTCTCCTAGGCCTCTGGGCCTGTGATGGGAGGGGCTGCCATAAAGGTCTCTGACATGTCCTGAAGACATTTTCCCCACTATCTTGCTGATTAACAAATAATAAGGGGAAAGCAAGCTTCTTCTTAAACTTATTTACTCAAATTTGTTCCTCTCTTCTATGATATTTAAAAACAGTAAATGTATTTGCTCTTTCTCACACAAATCTGGTAACTCCTCATCTCTCTTTTACTTTAAAATTAGCTTTTAAACACTTTTCTCCTTCTGTCTTTAGCTTTGAAAGTACTTCATTCTCACTTCTACCTTATTACTGATTTTGGTAAATTTAAATTCCATCTTCTCTGTTGAGTTAGGAAATCTCCTTCCATTTTCCTTCATCTCCCCTAATTGAAATCAAAGCCAGTATCCTCTTCACAGTTATACCTTGCTTCTCCTTTGTGACCTCAAGTTCCTTAACTTTCTAAGATATCTCATTAAAAACAAATATGGAAGTGCCCACTTTCCTTCCTTCTACTTCATCTGGTCATTAAAGTTGTTTTGAATAGCAAATGTGTTTGACAAAGGTAGATTTTCATTGAGAGGGACTTGTAAAAAAAAATAAGAAAAAAATTTAAAAAGATAGATTTCAAATTTTCTTCCTCTCTCCCATACCACCCAAATACCTACACACATAAGGTAGGTAATTACATGACAAAACAAAACCCAGTGAAAATCTAGAGTTCTGAATAATTATTATCCAATACCTCTGAACAGGTAGCATCAACAATAACAAGAAAAAAAAACTACCTATTAGTGTTAATAAATGCAAAGGATGAAATTAAAAAGCATGCATAGAAAAACAATGCAACCAACTTTTATCTGACCCTGCATTTGAAATTAGAGCCTAAGCAACATTAAAAACAATATGCAGTGTCTAGAGGAGTATATTCTTTCTGACCCATTACCAGTTATATAGACACATAAATATGTGTTAGTCAAATATTTCCTGTTAATTCTATTTTTAAAAAGTCTTATGTGTTTTAATACAAATTTTGATTCTGTTAAATTGGCATATATCTAAAGGTATAAAAAATCTTTGACTAATACTTTTTAATTTAGCTTTAAATTAAAATTTTATATTTTATTTTCTGTTGGTGATACATGACCATTAATAATGATATAATTAATCTTTTTAGATTTAGACAAACAAGATAGTGCCTACAAGGCCTGCAAACAAAGACAATCTAAGGAATGCTTTTTTAAAAATCTGAAATAGATATTTTATTCTTAATCTCAGAAGGAAAAACCAAAGCAACCTCACAGCTTAGAATGTTTTTAAAGTAATAAATAGTTCAGTGGTGTCTTGCTTTGGGTCTGTAATAATACAAAAGACAGAACTAATAGGGCCATTTCTGTTATGGACTATGCATAAGTGTTGTTGGTTAGTGTTTTTATTACAATATTTTTATAGAGCTCTAGGTGGAAGAAATTAGCCACGGTATATCTATTCAAAGCAAACAAATTCATGCATCTGAAATAATTCCATGTAGTGAGGAAAGAGACTACAAAATATCAAATCCAGTACTTATTATCATTCCCCACCCTCATCTATTTAACAATGGAAGCTCAGAAATAAGGAGAAAGAATGGAAGTTCTACAAAGGAAGGACTTTTTGCCTGTTTTGTTTGTTTAGCTATCCAACTGCAAAGAAAAATGATGCTCAATGAGTGAGTAAGTCCGTCCCTGGGCTGGGCGTAGTAGCTCACACTTGTAATCTGAGCACTTTGGGAGGCCAAAGTGGGGAGATCACGTGAGGTGAGGAGTTCGAGACCAGCCTGGAAAACATGGGGAAACCTTATCTCTACTAAAAATACAAAAATTAGCTCAGCCTTGTGGTGCACACCTGTAATCCCAGCTACTCAGGAGGCTGAGGCATGAGAATCACTTGAACCCAGGAGGCAGAGGTTACAGTAAGCTGGAATCAGACCACTGCACTCCAGACTAGGTGACAGAGCAAGATTCAGCCTCAAAAAAAATTTTTTCAAAAAAAGAAGTTTGTCCTTTTTATTGCATATTATGATGAAAATTATTGTAATTTTTCAAACATTTTATTTTAAAAAGTACAAACTTATGGCAAAGTTACAAAAATTGTACAAGGAATACCCACATATACTTTACTTTAATTCAATGATTTTTAACATTTTCCCACATTTGCTGTATCTTCATTATTAAATGTATGAACTTCCCATCTCTTAAGCAGGATATCCTCCTGCATAAATACAATATAGTGATCTCATTTAGAAAACTTAACTTTTATACAGCACTTTATGTAATATGCAATTCATATTCAAATTTTCAAAATTCTTCCTCAAATTAAATTTATGATGTTTAATTTTCCTAATCCAGAACACAATCAAGAATCACAGCTGACATTTAGTTTGCATGTCTATTAGTCTCCCTTAATCCAGAAAATTTCCCTAGACATTAATTAATTTTTTTATTTTTTTGTCTTATCATTACATTGCTATTTTCAAAGTATCCATCTCAGAGGCTTTGCAAAATGCCTCTCAGTTAAGAGTTGTTTTCTTCTTCATGATTAAGTTCAGGTCAAATACCTACAATAGGAATAATGCATAGGTGATATTGTATCCTTCACAGTGCGTGTACATATCAGGAAGCATGTGATCTCAGGTTCTCCTATATTTGGTGACAGTAATTTTGATCTCTTGATTAAGGAGATGTCTGCAAAATTTCTACTTTGTAAATGTACCTTTTTCTTTTTGTAACTAACAAGTAATCTGTAGAGGCAGTTATTTTAGGTTAGAGTATTTTGTTCCCGATCTTTCACACAATGTTATTAGCATAAATCAATGAATCCTGTCTGAAATAATTACTTTTATGATGTTTCAAGATGATGACTTTTCAGTTTCTAGCATTCTTTCTATATTTATTTGTTGGCACTCATTTGTATAAAAGAACGTCATCTTCTGATGTTCCTAATTTTTAAATGTTTTTAAATGTATTTGTGGACTCATGGATTATTTCAATATTTTATGCATTATAACCTATGCTGTGGTTACTCATTTAAGAAATTCTTCAGATTGGCACCTTTTCTAGAAAGACTAATTAAAATGAGTTTACTCATTGTATTAGTCTGTTCTCACACTGCTAATAAAGACATACCTGATACTAGGTAATTTATAAAGGAAAGAGGTTTAATTGATGCACAGTTCCACATGCCTGGGGAGGCCTCATAATCATGGCAGAAGATGAATGAGGACAAAGTACCATCTTACATGAGAGCAGGCAAGAAGACGTGTGCAGGGGAACTCTCCTTTATAAAATCGTCAGGTCTTGTGAGACTTATTCACTGTCATGAGAACAGCATGGGAAAGACCCACCCCCATGATTCAATTACCTCCCGTCAGGTTCCACCCATTGTTTTAGAAACAAAAAACAAAAAACCGGGTTCTTGTCACAGGACCAGAAAACGTTAAGCACACAGACACTTTGAAGGGTGAGGGGGAATGGAATTTATTGGATGAAAAGGAAAACTAATTCTCACCAAAGCAAGATAGAGTCCTGTTTGCAGGTCTCCCATCTCACAGATTGAATCCCAAGTTCCCACCCAGGAACAGGAGAGGCCAGGCTCCTCCCCACTGCAAACAACATGCACTTCCAAGGTTCCATCCCATCCTCCCAGTGCACAGGTGGGCACTATTCAGAAAGAATCAGTCAGGAAAGGGCAGGCTTCATCCCGGACCAGCAGTGTGGTTCTTCAGCCTTCAGGCTATCTTAGGCTTGAAGGCAGGGTTTCACTGGGGGACCCTTGGCTGCCTCCTGTCTCTATCATTTCCCCCTCTAAAGAAGTATACCTAACTGCTGTTGGAATAAGGATAAGGACAAAGACTCATCTGAACTGCTTTCTGCTGACAGGGGGCACTGCTTGGGGAAAACGGCAGTCAGAGCTCCCTCAGAAGCCTATCAAAGGGTCCCTGGCAAAAGGGGCCCTCATCCAAGTCTCCAGTTGCATGAACGTTTGGAGTTTGATTGCCTGAAGGTGAGAAATAAACCAGGTTATAGAAAACATGTATCAAAACAAAATGGGGGTGGGGTTGAGGACAGCTAAAAAATTCTGAGGCCTTTTACCAGTTTGCACAGGGAGAGGGAGGCCAAAAACCTAACTGGTAAAAAAAAAAAAAAAAACTTTTACCCTTTAGCCAGCATGTCAGGCTTCTGGGTTCCCTTCCCCTGAGCCCAATCCTAAGCAAACTAGGTTAAAGTTTGAGAAATTAACTCTCCCCAGTTTGGAGAATGCATCTGGGTGAGGTGTCCCATAGTACGGAAACACAATTACCTATCTGTGAAGAGAGGACAGAGGAGAAACACGAAAAAAGAAGGGTCTTTTTTTTCAAAGGGGTCCTAGAAACTCAGGATGCATTTGAAAGGGGTACAGATGGCCGGGTGCAGTGGCTCATGCCTGTAATCTCAGCACTTTGAGAGGTCGAGGCAAGCAGATCACCTAAGGTCAGGAGTTTGAGACCAGCCTGGCCAACATGGTGAAACCCTGTCTCTACTAAAAATACAAACATTAGCCAAGCATGGTGGTGCATGCCTGTAATCCCAGCTACTCGAGAGGCTGAGGCAAGAGAATTGCTGGAACCCAGGAGGTGGAGGTTGTAGTGAGGCAAGATCACGCTGCTGCACTCTAGCCTGGGCAACAAGAGTGAAACTCTGTCTCAAAAAAAAAAAAAAAAAAAAAAAGAAAGAAAGGTATACAGACTAATGATGAATGGCTACTCATCTACAAAAAGGGGAGCAGATTCCTCCTTCCTTGTATCCCCAAGTCCCAGATACTGTGACAGGGTGGGTGTCAAAGTGGTCTTCACTTGTGTTAACAGGGGGGTCTGGGGGTGAGAGTATTCGCTTTTACCCTTGTATACCCTATCTCCCCTGCTGTCCATAGCCTTTGGATTCTCCAGACCTCATTTATGCCATGGATACTAGTGTGACCTTTATTCATGAAATGGGAAGCTTGGCTTATTCAGCAGGAATCAGTCACACTCATCTGCATTGTGCCTTTTAACTTGCATTATCATCTGCATCTGGGTCCTTCAGATCCAGTTCCCCCTGCCCCCAGGGCTTTGATGTGAAGCTTAGAATTGAGTTTGGGACAAAAATGTGTCTCAGAGGCTAGCATGGATTTCTTATTATAAGCCAAATGCTTAGGTGAGGCTGTGGAATTGAGTCCTCCTCCAACAAGGAAGAGGGCGTCTTGTGACATGCCCAGATAACTGGTGGCTATAGTTATCTTTGCTAAGATTTGGGTGCATGGGGCTTGGCTTTGGTTAGCTCCCTTGGTCTTACTTTCCCAAAAAGGAAACCTCCAGGTGATGGGCATCCTATTTATTCCCATCACCTGGCAGGATTTGCAGGCTAATTGCTCAGAACTAGAATGTTGATCCAAAATTTTGACATTACCCATCCCTTTTACTCCTTCTGAGCTTTAGTTGGAGATTACTGGTTGGTTCACAGGAACAAGCAGGGTTACTCTAAAATGTAGGCAAAAACTTAAAAACAACTGATGAGTCTAGAATTTAATAACAAATGTGTGATAAGTTTTGAAACATAATTTCTCTCTCTCCAATCCTCAATTTTGTTTAAAAAAAATCATGATAGGGATGAGTTGTTTGTAAAATAGACTTTAATCTTACACTTGGGCTGAGTGTTTGCATAAAGTGCAGAAGGAATAACTATTTCTACATAGGCCTTTTACATTGGTTTTGATGGAAATCTGTTCCACGAGGAATCTCAGATAAGACTTTTTAAAGCCAAGCCCAGCCATCAGTTTATATGCTCAAATACCTGTGAGTTGGGTAATCGTCTCCTCTTAAGGTCCCAAGATAAACTTGGAGCTCCTGAGCCTGTAAGAAAGTGACATTCTTTACTAACCACAGGTCAGAAACCCTGTAGAGGGACTGTGTAGACAAGGGTATGAGGCCAGTTTTCTCAAGAAACTCTTATCGGCTCTGCAAGTTGAGCTTGACTCCTTAAAAGGAAGCATACCCTTCCAGTCAACACCTTGGTAAAAAAACTAGTTTATCAATTGCACCCTCTTGCAAAAGAAAATGGATTCTTATTGCACTGATGCAAACATTTATATTGCCATAAGTTAAGAATATTCACAACTAGTTTGCAAATTCTGGAGAAGCCAGGCAGAGAGACAAACATGCTCTGTATTTTGTTGACAGGAGTATACCTTACTCAATTATTAAAAGTCATAAATAGTTCAAAATAAGTTTCCTTGACTCTGAAAAAAAAACAAGGATCAGCAATATTCCAAGCAAAAGTCAAAAAGATTGCCTCAGTTTTTTTATGGGTTTGTGAATATTTTAGCTCTTCATGAGTTCTGTGTGTTTTCCCTTTATTCCAAAGTTATCAGAAACCTGTATTTGAGAGCACCTGTCAGAGTTCTACAGCTTATTATAAGCCATCTTTTGAAAAGAATTAAAACAAGAAAATTGTCTGTGAATAACAAAATGTCCAGGTTAGTTACAGTTAGAAACACAATTGACAAAGAAGCTTGGTTATCTCTGTCATTTACAATTATTTAACATAAAAACCTTAATTATGATAGCGTATACTCAGACATTAGAATTTTTAAAATCCCATACAAATTTGAAACACATATTAGTATTATTTACCAAAATATAACCTAAAGAATATTGAACACCATTTTGGTAATCTCATATACCTAAATATGTCAAATAATCCTGTTTTCCTCTCTTTTGGATACTCCAAGGGCTCTCTGAAGCATCAAAAAGCCAGGCATCAGGAAAGAAAATTTTGAAACTGAATTTGATTTTCAGAAGCCTGTTAAATGTGTTAGCGGTTTAAAACACTTGATATTATGAAATAGAACTCCAGATTACCTTGTTATTTATTTTGCCAAAATGATGAATCAGAAATTTAAAAAACAAAAAACTTTTTATAACCCCTTAAAAATTTTGCTAAAGAGCAGATTAGTGCCTTAAGAGAACCTTGTTTTGCTTTTACTTTAATGCTCAATTTACAAGAAAACCATATAATATCCTTTTGAATTTAGTCAATATGTTCACATATTGAATTTTTGCAAGATTAATTTGTACAATTCCTTTACAACTTGTTTGGACTTTTAGCTTTATCTTATCAAATTCAAAACAATCTTTTAAACCTAAGCAAGAACTTACATTTCCACACCTTCTTATAATCTTTTACTAAAAACACATCCTACTGTTCTTATACAGCTTGCATGTAAATCTATTTCCAGTAGTTTCAATTACATGTTATAATGGTTACTCCTAGCAATTTTTAACTTTAATGTAAAACTTGGTAAGTTGTTTTGATTATGTGCTAGGTGCATCCAAGGTTTGACTAATTCCAGCATAATTAAGGGCGTGGTTATTTCTATATGTCCCCAGGCCTTACCAATTGTGGAGCAGGCAAGACAAATAGTTCTCAAAACCCAAAAAGCAGTTTATGACCTTAAAACATTTAGCAAACCTAGCAGTTGACCTGCATAATTTAGTCCACCTATTTATATTTTGATGACATCTGCACTTTACCAATAATCTTTTAGGCTGTTTAAATTTTTTGAAGATGAAAGTCATATGAACTGAAAGGTACCACAGCTTTTATTTTACCCTTTAAAAAATATTTGATCCAAGCACTTATCTTCTTTTAGGCCAATTAATTAGACCTTTTTTTTAAATAGACATTACACACCCAACACATATATAACTACACAGACAGGAAGAAGAAAACCCAGTAGCCATACGATTTTTCATTTTCTGATCTTCTATTTGGATTATTGGTCCCTTTAAGAGGGAGGGCTAGGAAAACAAGCAGCTTTTAGAGCCTAATAGGCAGGCATTACTGGGAGGCGAAAAGAGATTTTGAGAGGGATCTATCCACTTTTAATTCCTGGGGTTCAATGAGGAAGACAGAGATCTCTCCCCTCTCTTGTGTGCATTAAAATTGGCAAAGCAGAATGGAGAAAAATAATACAGCCAACTGAGAAAAAGCCGTTTTCCAGCAAAGCAAGATCCCAGAAGAGAAAAAAATAAAATAAAACAAAAAGGCCTTTTAAATATACCTGTAACTTAGATATTCATCTTTAATTTAGTTGAGCACTCCTTAAGAAAATCCTTTTAAATCTCCTATTACCTGACTTTAGCCATACCAAGAAGCCAGTATTTCAGCCTTTCAAACTTTACTAAAGCCTCAGAGAAAGGAAAATCCAAGATGGTTCATGGAGGAGAAGAGAATCAACAAATAGAAAAGTTACACAGATATCAAACCTGAAAGGACTCAGTTGCTAAGCCATGACTGAACCTGGGTTGTGCAGAGGCTAAGCAAAACATTGCCATGGAGTTACACGTCATGCCCCCAAGTCCATAAACCAAGATGGAGGCCTGCAGCAAAGTTCACTGCTGACCATACAGAAAGTCATGCAAAGGCCTGGAGTTGTGGCTCATACCTATAATCCCAGCACTTTGGGAGGCCAAGGCAGGTGAACCACCTGAGGTCGGGAGTTTGCGACCAGCCTGGCCAACATGGTGAAATCCGGTCTCTACTAAAAATACAAAAATTAGCTGGGTGTGGTGGTGCATGCATGCCTGTAATCACAGCTATTTGAGAGGGTAAGGCAGGATGATCACTTGAGAGAGAGAAGTGGAAGTTGCACTGAGCTGAGATGGTGCCACTGCACTCCAGCCTGGGTGACAGAGTGACACTCCATCTTTAAAAAAAAAAAAGAAAATCATGCAAAGCATACCAGATTGGCTACAGCTTAAAACCAACCTCATAAAGAATTTGTCACAATTAAAACTCTACAGAAAATATAAACAATGATCCCCATCACTCCTGGCCTAGCAAAACATCTTCCAAAAGGAAAAAAAACAAAAAACAAAAACCCTTGCTTAAGTCAACTGCTGACCCAGTGGAGAAAAGGAAAAGACGTTTAAATGCAGGGCTGTGTTACCTGTTGACAGGGTGGAGAAAAGAAAAGATACCTGTGGAAGAACCTCTTATTCTTATGCAAATAGTTTCCTCCACAAGGGAGATATATTTAATTGCAGTCAATCAGAGTACAATTTTTGGCCGGGGGAGGGGAAGGCTCCATGGTTGCATGGCAGGGAGCATTGACCAGCCTGCTGTTGGGCACCCTTGGGCCATGCAGCCCAGCCCTGGCAGGGAGGGGAGCGAGGAACCCACCATTTATTTGCCCATCCTGTGTATGCCTGCAGCCATCAGGGTGGGGTAGTGCACAATTTCCTCTCCCCTCAGAAGAGGTCTGAGGAGAAAAAGGCTTAGAAGCAAAAGGAAAAAAGATGTGTTGGTTTGCACGGTACTCACCCTTCCTCAAGCCGAATGTTGGCCACCAAAAATGTTGTAGAAAAAAACTGGGTTCTTGTCACACAACCAGGAAAAGTTAGGCACACAGACACGTTAAAGGTTGAAGGGGAACAAAATTTATTTTATTAGGCAAAAAGGAAAACTAACTCTCAGCAAAGCAGGAAAGAGTCCTGTGAGCAGGTTTCCCACCTCACAAACTGAATCCCAGGTCCCCACCCAGGAACAGGAGAAGCCAGGCTCCACCCCCCACAAATGACATGCATTTCCTGAGGCTACGTCCCATTCTTCCAGTGCACAGCTGGGCATTATTCAGAGTCAATCAGGAAAGGGCGGGCTTCATCCAGATTGGCAGTCTGGTTTTTCAGCCTTCAGGCTGTTTTAGACTTGAAGGTAGGGTTTCACAGGGGTGGAGGGGGCTGGGGTAGGTGGGTTATGAAGGGTAGCGGAACCTTTGGCTGCCTCCTGTCTCTATCATCATGACATTTGGGAGCTACAATTCAAGATGAGATTTGGGTGGGGACACAGCCAAATCATATTATTCTGCCCCTCTCCCCTCCTAAATCTCATGTCCTCACATTTCCAAATCAATCACACCTTCCCAACAGTCCCCCAAAGTCTTAACTCATTTCAGGATTAACTCAAAAGTCCACAGTCCAAAGTCTCAGTCTGAGACAAGGCAAGTTCCTTTCACCTATGAGCCTGTAAGATCAAAAACAAACTAGTTACTTCCTAGATACAATAGGGGTACAGGCATTCAGTTAATACAACTATTCCATGGGAGAAATTGGTCAAAATGAAGGGGCTACAGGCCCCATGCAAGTCCAAAATCCAGCAAGGCAGTCAAATTGTAAAGCTCCAAAATGATCTCCTTTGACTCATGTCTCACAGTCACGTTGTACTGATGCAAGAGGCCGGTTCCCATGGTCTTGGGGCACCTCTGCCCCTGTGGCTTTGCAGGGGCTGTCCCCTTCCTGGCTGCTTTTACAGGCTGGCATTGAGTGTCTGCAGCTTTTTCAGGTACACAGTGCAAGCTGTCAGTGGATCTACCATTCAGGGGTCTGGAGAATTTTGGCCCTCTTCTCACAACTCCACTAGGCAATACTCCAGTGGGGACTCTGTGGGAGCTGGAACCCCTCATTTCCCTTCTGCACTGCCCTAGCAGAGGTTCTCCATGAGGACTCTGCCCCTGCAGCACACCTCTGCCTGGATATCCAGGCATTTCCATACATCCTCTGAAATCTAGGCGGAAGTTCCCAAAACTCAATTCTTTTTATTTATTTATTTATTTATTTATTTATTTATTTATTATTATTATACTTTAAGTTTTAGGGTACATGTGCACAATGTGCAGGTTAGTTACATATGTATACATGTGCCATGCTGGTGCGCTGCACCAACTAACTCGTCATCTAGCATTAGGTATATCTCCCAATGCTATCCCTCCCCCTCCCCCCACCCCACAACAGTCCCCAGAGTGTGATGTTCCCCTTGCTGTGTCCATGTGTTCTCATTGTTCAACTCCCACCTATGAGTCAGAATATGCAGTGTTTGGTTTTTTGTTCTTGCGATAGTTTACTGAGAATGATGATTTCCAATTTCATCCATGATTTCTGTGTACCCACCGGCTCGTCCTGAGACTGCACAAAGCAGCAAGGCCCTGGGCCTGGCCCATAAAACCATTTATTCCTCCTAGGCCTCCCTGCTTGTGATGAGAGGGGCTGCCATGAAGATCTCTGACATGCCATGGAGACATTTTTCCCATTGTCTTGGCAATTAACATTTGACTCCTCATTACTTATGCAAATTTCTACAGCTCACTTGAATTTCTCCTCAGAAAATGAGTTTTTCTTTTCTATGGCATCATCAGGCTGCAAATTTTCTGAACTTTTATGCTCTGCTTCCCTTTTAAACATAAGTTCCAATTCCAAACCATATTGTTGTGCATACATAAAACTCAATACTTTTAATAGTACCCAAGTAACCTCTTGAACACTTTTCTCCTTAGAAATATTTCTTGCACCAGATGTCCTAATTCATCACTCTCAGGTTCAAAGTTCCACAGACCTCCAGGGCAGGGGCAAAATGCCACCAGTCTCTGCTAAAACATAGCAAGAGTCACCTTTGCTCTAGTTTCCAACAAGTTTCTCATGCCCATCTGAGACTACCTCAGCTTGGACTTTATTGTTCATATCACTATCAGCATTTTATTCAACAATTCTCTAGAATGTTCCAAACTTTCCCACATCTCCCTGTCTTCTTCTGAGCCTTCCAAACTGTTCCAAGCTCTGCCTGTTACCCAGTTCCAAAGTCACTTCCATGTTTTTGGGTATCTTTATCGCAGCTCCCCACTCTACCGGTACCAATTTACTGTATTAGTCTGTTCTCACGCTGCTAATAATGACATACCTGAGACTAGGTAATTTATAAAGGAAAGAGGTTTAATGGACTCAGTTCCACATGGCTGGGGATGTCTTACAATCATGGCAGAAGGCAAATGACAAAGTCCCATCTTACATGGCAGCAGGCAAGAGGACATGTGCAAGGGAGCTCCCCTTAATAAAACCATCAGATCTCGTGATACTTATTCACTATCATGAGAACAGCAAGGGAAAGACCTGCTCCCATGATTCAGTTACCTGCTACTGGGTCCCTCCCCCAACATGTGGAAATCACAGGAGCTACAATTCAAGATGAGATTTGGGTAGGGACCAAGCAAAACCATATCACTCATTTTCCACAATTATCTATTAAAAGTAAATAATGTAAATATATTTTGGAAGAAAAAAACATTGCTAATTTAATAACTCAAACTTGTAATGCTTTAAAATTGGGTTTCCCAATTTAAAGCACCAACATGTTTAGCTGTAGAAAAGGAGATAGAGTTCCTGACCATTATAGCTCTCGATAATTTGAGTGGTTATGAAGAGAGACTTAAGGCAACATATAGAAATACTAGCTTCTGGATGCTCTTTTTAAATAAGAATTTACTTATGTTATATTTATTTTATACTTTTCTATCATATATACTACCAGTCAAAATCCTAAACTTCTTGGGTCAAAACAGAAGTGAATCACATACTGCTTATTTCTTTATTCCATTTTTTGTACATGACCGTAGCTAGCAAGATGTTGAACTTGTTCAATTCTTTTGATTTTTACTTTCATGTACTGATTGCATGAAATGTTCATCCTTAGATCTTTAAATATAGGAAGCAACTCTTTTTAAAAATAATATGCACAGGAGTAATATACATAAGTAAATACTACATGCCTGTGATATCATTATCAACAAACATTTATTAAATGTGCCATGGATATATCCTAATCATTTGTACTTTTTTTTTTTTTTGAGATGGAATCTCACTCTGTTGCCCAGGCTGGAGTGCAGTGGCACCATCTCCGCTCACTGCAACGTCTGCCTCCTGGGTTCAGGTGATTCTCCTGCCTCAACCTCCTGAGTAGCTGGGATTATAGGCGTGTGACACCACACCGGGCTAATTTTTGTATTTTTAGTAGAGATGGGGTTTCACCATATTGGTCAGGCTGGTCTTGAACTCCTGACCTCGTGATCCACCTGCCTCGGCCTCCCAAAGTGCTAGGATTGCAGGCGTGAGCCACCGTGCTCAGCCTCATTTGTACTTTTTAAAAAGCCCATACCTAGCTGGTATGTTCAGTCTTTTGAAAACAAAAGGCTTTTGGGAACCTGTTGATGAGTTTCTTATTTCAGTTCTCCAGTTTCTTGGGCAGTTACTGGTTCAGTTTGTGGGAGGTTTCTGTTTGTCACTCAGCTGCAGCCACACCATTAGTGGGACAGCTTCAGTTTAAAACAACTCCATGGTTTGCCATAAATATTGAAAGTATTCCTATTATTGGTCAAGAGATGGGGAAGGACTCCACTAATGCTTAACTTGTAGGCCCATTAGCTTGCCAAATTATGTGTCCACACAGTACATGATTTCATGGGTCAAGGTGACTTGGACAGGGTTTCTTCAAATATTCTCCCTGCAGTTTTAAGTTTCGTTTTCTCAACTCTGATCTCTTATCTCTGTGTACTAGAACATCAGGGAGACATTTACCTGACTGTCAATTATTTAGAACAAAAATATTGATTTCTCATCATTTCCATAACTTTGGGCACTATTCTAGTAGAAGGTTATTAGTTGTGTGGTAAATGCATTTTCTAAAAAAATAGATCAAAATAAAACAAAAATAACTCAAAGATAGCAAAATAAACAATAGAACATTGAAAAGGCACAATTCCTGGGTGATAATATAACATAAATGATTGTCAATTTTTTCTCATGTAGATTTTACACACTGTAGTAAAATAGTATTTCCCAAAATTCATGTCCATCCAGAACTTTAAATTATGACCTTGTTTGGAAATAGGATCTTTATAGTTATAGTTATTTAAGGATACCAAGGTCCTGCAAAGAGTAAAACAGTATTTCCCAAAATCCATGTCCATCTAGAATCTCAGAATGTGACTTTCTTTGGAAATAATTTTTTGTTTGTTTGTTTTGTTTTGTTTTGAGACAGAGTCTCACTCTATTGCCAGGCTGGAGTGCAGTGGCATGATCTCAGCTCACTGCAACCTCTGCCTCCCGGGTTCAAGCAATTCTCCTGCCTCAGCCTCCTGAGTAGCTGGGACTACAGTTGCATGCCACAACACCCAGCTAATTTTTGTATTTTTAGTAGACATGGGGTTTCACCATGTTGGCCAGGATGGTCTCGATCTCTTGACCTCGTGATCTGCCCACCTCAACCTCCCAAAGTGGTGGGATTCAGGCGTGAGCCACTGTGCCCGGCCAAGATTTTTATAAATATAATTATTTAAGGATCTCAAGATCCTGGACTTAAGGTGGTTCTTAAATCCGAATAACTGGTGTCTTCATAAAAGACCAAAAAGAGAAGAATACTTGGACACAGAAAAGTGCAGAAAGGAAAGCTGTGTGAAGATGGAGGTGAAGCAGAGGTGAAGTTAATGCTGCCGCATGCTCAGGAATGCTAAAAGCTACCAGAAGCTGGAAAGGGTAATGAACATAGTGATCAGCTGTGTCAAATGTTGCTGATGGGTCAAGCACAATGAGGCCTGAATATTGACCATTGATTTCAGCAATGTGGCAGTGTTAGAAAAGTGGTAGAAGCAAATAACAAACCACTGTCTTGAGGAGTTTTACTACTAAGCAAAACAATAAAATGGTGCCGACACGGAAAATGTAACCAATAAAAGTTTTTTCATAAATTAGAGACATAATACCATTTTTATAAATTTATAAATTCGTAAGTATAAATGCCCTAAAAAGTAAATATGTGGGAGGAAGAAGGCCTATTTGTCAGAGCACAATTCTTGAGGAGTTCGATGAATCATGATTTAACACCCAAATAGAGAGTTTGCAATAGATAGTTCATTTGTGATATGAACATAGGAATTCAGATTATATGGGAATACATACTAGGAGGCTATAGATATCAAAATGGTAATATTCCTCTGATTATTTGAAATTTCTTAGTGAAAAAGATATCAGAGTAATCAGCTGAAAGTAGAAATAGAGGTTTGAGAGAGAGGCTAAGGTGTGAAAATTGATAAAATCAATGGTCTAGTAGGCCAGCCACAGTGGCTCACACCTGTAATCCTAACAGTTTGGGAGGACAAGGCAGGTGGGTCACTTGAGGCCAGGAGTTTGAGATCAGCCTGGCCAACATGGCAAAACCCCACCTTTAATAAAAATACAAAAATTATCCACATGTGGTGGCATGCACCTGTAGTTGCAGCTACTCAGGATGCTGAGGCACAAGAATCGCTTGAACTTGGGAGGCAGAGATTGCAGTGACCCATTATTGTGCCACTGTACTCCAGACTGTGTGACAGAGAGAGATGTGATGCTGTCTCAAAACTAACACAAAAACAAAAACAAAAGAATGATCTCAAAATGTATCGCGTGATGTCCTAGCAATGTGGAGAGTCCACTTGACATTCATGGTTATGATTTTAAACTGAATCTAGTAAATTTGGTTTTGAGTTTTTGTTTATTTTTTTTTCTCCAGCCACATTCAGTTGCCAGAGAGCAGGCACCAAATCACTGGAGAGTGCAATTTATCCAGGATAGAATTTTGGCTCTAGAAGTGTGACCAAGTGAGAGAGAACAAGAGAACTGAGAGTAAATGGCAAGGAGTGACTGAAATCACTAATCATTAATCGCCATGTGCAACAAGGTGAGAGTGGGGCAAGCACACTCAAGGGGTGAAGGACAGAGAAACGTTAGTTAGTTCAGTGCATCAGAGATCCCAGAAAGATTGCTGAGGTCAGGATGGTAAAACAAGTAAGCTGTAAACAGAAAGATGGTGGGCAGAAAACGGTATGCAGGGAGTTAAAATTATAAAGAGTGACAGTTATTTGTTGTAGAAAAGTCCAGGATGGAGACATCCAGTAGAAATATAGTTCGAGACACATATATAATTTTGGATTTTCCTGTAAAAATGTAGAAAGAAATAAGCAAAATTTAGTTTTTTTTTTTTTTTTTTTTGAGACGGAGTCTTACTCTATAGCCCAGGCTGGGGTACAGTGGTGTGATCTCGGCTCACTGCCCAGGCTGGGGTGCAGTGGTACAATCTCGGCTCACTGCAACCTCCACCTCCCTTGTTCAAGCGTTTCTCTTGCCTCAGCCTCCCAAGTAGCTGGGACTACAGATGTGCACCACCATGCCCGGCTAATTTTTGTATTTTTAATGAAGTTGGAGTGTCACTATGTTGGCCAGGTTGATCTCACAATCGTGACGTCAGGTGATCCGCCTGCCTCTGCCTCCCAAAGTGCTAGGATTACAGGTGTGAGCCACCACGCCTGGCCTTAAAATTTAATTTTAAGAATAGATTTCATTTGACCAAACAATCAATATAAGAATTGTTCAGGAGCTATTTTCCATCTGTTTTAGTGCTTACTGTTTGAAATCTGGTGTATATTTTACACTCACATCTCGATTTGAACCTGCCACATTTCATGTGCTCAATAGCCACCTGTGGCTGGTGGCTATGGCAAAAATTCTGAGACCAGTTCTTTCCTTGAGAACTTTTAACTTGATATAACCTCTCTCCTAAAGAAAGCATTAGGTACTTTAAAGAATTCCTAAGTGAATGAGGTTGTTTTCTGTCTGCATTTGTAAATATCTAGTCAGATAACGATTGCAAAGGACAACTGAAGTAACCAAATAGTTAATAACAATTCTGGGTGTTTACAATACACAAAGCAAACACCAACCTTTACCAGGATAAACATGTTTCTCAGGCAGGACACCAAGGCAGGTGGCTAAAAAAAAAATGAAATCTATTGGTATACACATATTGCAGTGTTGCTGAGAAATTATTATCGATGCATGAAATGGATTTAACAATCAATGAGAGAACAATGGGTCTTTACCTTCTATAAAATAAAATCTGTCCCTGGTTGGTGGCAGCAGCTGAAGGTTTGCAGGGCATGTGGTTCTTTTGAACTAGCCTTTTTAGCCTAAGATAAGGGAAAGCTTTTGCTTAAAATAAGCTACAAGGCCCCCAGGTCAGAACAATAATTTGAATTAAAAAACAAACAAACAAAAACAAGTTAAAAGCTGCCATTAATTTTGAGTTTATTTTTATAGACTTTCTTCTTTGAACATTTTGTGGTTCTCCTACTTATCATTATTATAGTTCATCAAGTTGATAATATTTTGTCAAGTAGTTTGAATTAACTTTAAGATAATATACTCTTTTAGGAGACAAAGCAACTTCATCAGTGGCAAGCAGCTTAACAGAGTAGAGAGAATGCACAGTATTTGAAATCAGATGAGATTTGAATTCTGGCTCTATCATTTACTGACTGTGTAACCAAGTATGCGTATTTTCTAAAAGATAGATTAATCATTTTTTTTCTATCTTTATTTTCTTTTCTTGTTTCCCTGGTTCCCCACTTCCTACTCAGCCCTTTAGAAATGCAAATATAGCCTTTTACCCCATTCACCAGACACTTTGTACAGGGCAAGTTCATATAAGTACGTGCTGCAAGAGAGAGCTCTCCTCTAGAGTTAACAGTTGATTTACAAATGAAAGCATGACTGTGGCCGGGCATAGTGGCTCACGCCTGTAATCTCAGCACTTTGGGAGGTGGAGGCAGGCGGATCATGAGGTCAGGAGTTCGAGACCAGGCTGACCAACATGGTGAAACCCCATCTCTACTAAAAATACAAAAATTAGCCGGGCATGGTGATGCATGCCTATAATCCCAGTTACTCAGGAGGCTGAGGCAGGAGATTCACTTGAACCCGGGAGGCAGAGCTTGCGGTGAGCTGAGATGGAGCCACGACACTCTAGCCTGGGCTGCAGAGCAAGACTCCATCTCAAAACAAACAAACAAACAAACAAAAAATAGCATGACTGTCACAGAACTCTCACTTACCAGGAGATTGCCTCAAGAGGTAACAGTCAAAAAGCGTGCCTGCTGCTATCTCCTAGCTGGGGAGTTTCTGGCCTATTCCCGCCCATGAAGAGGCCAGCAGTCACCAGCTCGACTGCACAGTAGGCAAGGCACCAGAGCTAGCACATGGACCCCTCTCTTGCTCGCTTTCTCCTCTTCCTTTCAAAGTGTCTACTTTCTGCTCCAAAAGCAAAGTAGTATCCTCAGGTGGGAAACCTGTTTTTCTTCCCCAAACTAACTTTGGAATAAATCACTTTCTTTATACCAGAAATCGGTCTTGATAATGGGACTCTGCAAGTGGCAAGTGCCTAACCTGTATTTCAGTTACACCTGTGTAACCGTGAGAAATCCCTCAACTCCTCCAACGTACTTTTTCCTTCTGTATAATCAGGACAATAGGGTCTCATAAAGCTGTTGTAAGAATTAAGTGAGATAAGATGTAAGCTTGATACATGTTAGCAATTATTATTTTAGATTAGCCTGTGTTGTCTGGAATAACTCATATATTTTTCTTTTAAAAGGTTGATGCTAATTATAATTACAAGCCTAAATTCATAAATTTTAGGTATAAAGATGTCACATTATTTCAATCCTCAAGTCAGGTCTTGTCTTTAGACAAGTCAGTCTTTAATTTGGCATTTACCATTATTAAGAAAACCTTTTACACAATCAAGTCAATCATGTTGTTTCATTCAGTCAGTCACAAAACTGTAGTGTTTATTGTGAAAAGAAAGTAAATCCTTGGGACCCCAAATTCACTAGGCCAAAGGGAAAAGTTAAGCTTGGAAATTGAGTCACACAAGAAATTGCCTTTCCTTTTGTTTCTAAGCTGATAGCTACAGATAGAAAGCCAGATGTCTGTACGAGTAACTGCTCTATGTTTACTTTATTTTATGTAAAGTGCAGATTTACTGAACACAAGAGAATACATAATTAACTGTTTCCCTCTACCCTCTACTTATCACATGCCACATGTGGATTCAGTAATGTTATACATGCCCTCTTTCCCCCATTGCACACTTTTCCCTGTTAAACATTGAAGCCCTCAAAATCCTCTTAGGAAAAGGCATGGCTTACAGATAGTCCTGTAGTTTTGTGTTCCTTTTTCCTGGGCATGTTGAATGACATTGGCAAAATACACCTTTACATTGATTGAGACCTATCTCAGATACTTTTCAGCTTACACTATCATGACAAGACAAGCTATTGTGCTCTCTGGGAGATACAAAACATGCACTCTAAATGCAGAGACAAAGCAAACACTTGTCAGATAGTTTAATAAATTCTCTGAAATCACAGAAGTTTGATTTCACGGTGCACTGATGGTGCTATGAGAAGACATCATGAGAAGGAAAGGAATTTAACCACATCTTGAAGACTTAAGGAAATCCAAGGGAGGATATCCATGTTATTTTATACCACATGAAGGCATCTTATGAAGCTGGGCTTTTTACTTGTTGCAGCAAAGAAGACCACACACAATGAACTCAAATTCCCTTTTCTGCTAACTTGAAAGACTCCTACTTCTGTTACCAGAAAGGGGTCCTGATCCAGACCCCAAGAGAGGGTTCTTGGACCTTGTACAAGAAAGAATTTGGGGTGGCTCTGTAAAGTGAAAACAAGTTTATTAAGAAAGTAAAGAAATAAAGAATGGCTACTTCATAGGCAGAGCAGTGGCATGGGCTGCTCAGCTGAGTATTCTTATAGTTATTTCTTGATTATATGCTAAACAAGGAGTGGATTATTCATGCATTTTCTGGGAAAAGGGTGAACCTCTCCTTTTTAGACCATTTAGGTTAACTTCCTGATGTTGCCATGGCATTTGTAAACTGTCACGGTGCTGGTGGGAGTGTCTTTTAGCATGCTAATGCATTATAGTTAGCGTACAAGGAGGAGTGAGGATGACCGGAAGTCACTTTCAACGCCATCTTGGATTTGGAGGTTTCAGGCTGGCTCCTTTACTGCAACCAGTTTTATCAGTGAGGTCTTTATAACCTGTATCTTGTGCCTCCTATCTCATCTTGTGACTAAGAATGCCTAACCTATTGAGAATGCAGCCCAGCAGATCTCAGCCTTATTTTACTTAGTCCCTATTCAAGATGAGGTCACTCTGGTTCAAATACCTCTGACATCTCCAGTGAAAATTCTAGTCGCACTTTTTCCATCTGCCTCCTGGATGAAAATTACAATACCCAATCACCAGTCACTATCTGTTGCATATCATCGTGCTTCTTCTTGTATTTTATTTTATTTTATTTTATTTTACCAAGTTTGCACAGTAAAGGTCATTTCCAGATAAGTCATCAAGATTCTAATGTGAGTTAGGCAGTGTTTCAGATATCTAGCAGAGGACTTCTCAAATTATGTTCTATATAATACCAGTTCATTGATAAATTTCTTTGATTTTTTAAACGTCACCTAAATTTGAGAGTCACCGTGCACTTTGGCAACTTTAAAGGTTTTAAGAAGCTTTGAAGGATCTATATTGGCTTGTGTACAGCCAGCCTTTGATTACAGAAACTTTCCTTTATTACCCCTAATAAATCAATGGCAGAAATTCTGTTTCAGACCACTTACTAAAGTGCTGAGTTAAAACTGCAGCATATTAATAAAACTTCTTAGGGAATTTAGGCACATCATAATTCTCAATCTGTTGATGAGAATAGATATTAAGGCACAATCTATTGATTGAGAATTATGATGTGCCTAAATATCAATTGAGATTAGTGTCCAACTCACTGACATTCTAGGTAGTCTTATATTAGAATGAAGGGATTTTCTCTTTCCCAGGGCTGCTTGTGATATTCCTGAAAACTAGTTTATTTTTATTTTAGTGGGACTGTAGATTATCTACTTATGTAATTTCCTTCTTTGTGTTGGCTGCCAGAAAACTTGGGGCCAAATTTGGACCCATGTCTAACAACTCTCGTGATTCTTACAGATCATGTTGTAATCATCTCATTCATGGCTTAATAATATTTTACTACATGCATTTTTCTTTTGCCCCATTCTCCCTATCTTCCTGTTTTTAGCTGCATTTTTTCATGTCCATTGAATGTATATTTTAAATTTTTTAAAGTTTTTTTTTCTTTTGGAGCTAATAATAATATTTTAACAAACTGTCTTGTAAGCATTTTGTTTAATGAAAGAAGTTTTGAAACGTAAGGGAACGATCATTGCACTGTTGAAGTCATGAGACTTTTAAATGGCTTTGTTCCAATTTCACCTCTAATTAGCTGATGCACTCAGGCAATATTTTGAAATTCTCTGGACTTCCGTTTCCCATCTGTGAAGTGAGTCAGAAATAGACAGCCTTGGTTAAAGATTACAGACCAAGTCATTTTGGCAGGCGATTTAATGCAACTTCTGCCAGCTGTAGAAAAAGAGTAGAAAGAGATGGGGCTAGCTTCAGTCAGACATGAGGAAGAAACAGGGCTGGGCTAAGATATGTGGGCAATTAGAGTTAGCTAACAATTTGGTTGCCATTCAAATACATATTATCTTACAGATTTGTTTGTTTGGTAGAAGAAGAAAAATTTTTATTTAATTAGAATTCTTTTTAAAAACAGACATTCCTAGTATCTGAAGTGAAATGAATAGATAGAAAAAATTCAAAAATGGCATCTATATTATTATTTCTGGTTTAAACATTTTTTTCTGAAACCAGCATAAAAAAGGGTTGAAAAATTACATGTTGAAAATAACTTGTTCCCATTAAATGGAAATATTTTTGCGTGCTTTTGTTTAAGAATTTTAGCCAACTGTGTTGCACATGCTTATGAGAAGAATGTTCTACTGCAGTAGGTCAGAGCTAATGAGGAGTTTTCCTCCATCCTCCCAGCCTTGAGAGTGCTTCTATGTTGGCAAAAGAAAGCTCCATTACATTTCACCGGTGATACAAGAAGATATGCATTTGTTTATATGCATGTCATCACCTGGTACTTTTCTAACTTCTGTTCTAAGCAAATGAGAAAAGAACACAGGTGAGTTTCATAGGTATATGACTGTTCACATCAAGCAAATGCTGGATGTTATCACTATGTGCTATTGGAACAGATGTTTTAGGATTGTATGAATAGACAAAGAGCTCAAGAAATTGAGGCATCACACGGCTCCGTCATTGTAGACCAGCAAGACTCGGAAAACCTGTGTTAAAACACTTGTAAATAGTCACACTGTGGCAGATACCTCAGTTTCAACAGAACATTAAATTAGATTTGTAAATTTAAACATGTTTAACATATTATTTTATTTTGTATGTTTTTATAAATTTGTCTTGGAATTAAAATTCTGTAAAAGGTACATGCATCTTTATATCTGATCTTACGTTCACCCAGATCTGTGCCTGGCTGATTCCTCACCATTTGGTTTCCATTGGTGTCTCCCTCTCAGAGGAGTTTGCCTTCACCTTCCTTCTCTGCTATTCCCTGTTCCATGACCCTGCTTTATTTTTTTTCATAGCCCTAATTGTGATATAAAATCATTTTATATTGGGGGAGCCAGCCCCCAATATTTCAACGTAGGTTATTTTCTATTTTCCTTAAGTGTCGGTCGGTCTGAGAAATAAAGAGAAGGAGTACAAAAGAAAGAAATTTTACAGCTGGGCCTCGAGGGTGACATCACCTATTGGTAGGTTCCATGATGCCCCTGAGCTGCAAAACCAGCAAGTTTTTATTAGGGATTTCAAAAGGGGAAGGGGGTACGAACAGGGCATAAGTCTCAAAGATCACATGCTTCAAAGGGCAATAAAAGATCACAAGGGAAGACAGGAAGAGCAAGATCACAAGGCCAGGGCGAAATTAGAATTACTGACGAGGTTCCATGTCCTGCTGGGCACATATTGTCTTAATAAACATCTTAACAGGAAACAGGATTCAAGAGCAGACAACCAGTCTGACTAGAATTCACCAGACTGGAATTTCCTAATCCTAGCAAGCCTGAGGGCACTGCAGGAGACCAGGGCATATTTCATCCCTTATCTTCAACCGCATAAGGCAAACACTCCCAGAGCAGCTGTCCATAGACCTATTCCTGGGAATGCATTCCTTCTCCAGGGTTATTCCTTGCTAGGAAAAGAATTCAATGATATTTCTCCTATTTGCTTTCTACAAGAAGAAAAATATGACTCTGTTCTGCCCGGCCCTGTAGGCAGTCAGATCTTATGGTTATCTCCCTTGTCCCCTGAAAATCGCTGTTATCCTATTCTTTTTGAGGGTGCCCAGATTTCATATTGTTCAAACACACATGCTTTACAAACAATTTGTACAGTTAATGCAATCATCGCACGGTCCTGAGGCGACATACATCCTCAGCTTATGAAGATGATGGGATTAAGAGATTAAAGTAAAGACAGGCATAGGAAATTATAAGAGTATTGATTGGGGAAGTGATAAATGTCCATGAAATCTTCATAATTTATGTTCAGAGATAAATGTAAGAAACGTGAGAGACAGGCGTAAGAAATTGCAAAAGTATTAATTTGGGGAACTATTAAATGTCCATGAAATCTTCATGATTTCTGTTCTTCTGCTGCGGCTTCAACAGTCCTTCCATTCAGGGTCCCTGACTTCCTGCAACAATCTTATTTTCTAATTTTGTTCAAATTTCTTTTTGTTTTCTTTCTTTTTTGAATTATTATACTTCATGTTCTGGGATACATGTGCAGAACGTGCACATTTATTACACAGGTATACACGTGCTATGGTGGTTTGCTTCACCTATCAACCTGTCAGCTACATCAGGTATTTCTCCTAATGCTATCTCTCCTCTAGTCCCAAACCACATGACAGGCCCCAGTGTGTGATGTTTCCCTACCTGTGTCCATGTGTTCTCATTGTTCAACTCCCACTTATGAGTGAGAATATGTGGTGTCTGGTTATCTGTTCCTGTGTTAGTTTGCTGAAAATGATGGTTTCCAGCTTCATCCATGTCCCAGCAAAGGACATGAATTAATCTCTTTTTATGGCTGCATAGTATTCCATGATGTATATGTGCCACATTTTCTTTATCCCTTAGGGGCAGATTGACACCTCTCATGGCCAGGTACCTCTCTGAGACAAAGCTTCCAGAGGAACAACTGGGCAGCAACATTTGCTGTTCAGCAATATTCGCTGTTCTGCAGCCTCCGCTGCTGATATCCAGGCAAACAGGGTCTGGAGTGGACCTCCAGCAAACTCCAACAGACCTGCAGCTGAGGGTCCTGACTGTCAGAAGGAAAACTAACAAACAGAAAGGACATCCACACCAAGATAAGAACTACATGATGAATGCACAAGCTTCAGTAGCCAATTCAATCAACTAGAAGAAAGGGTATCAATGATTGAAGATCAAATGAATGAAATGAAGTGAGAAGAGAAGTTTAGAGAAAAAAGAATAAAAAGAAATGAACAAAGCCTCCAAGAAATATGGGATTATGTGAGAAGACCAAATCTACATCTGATTGGTGTACCTGAAAGTGACAGGGAGATTGGAACCAACTTCAAAAACACTCTGCAGGATATTAACCAGGAGAACTTCCTAAACCTAGCAAGGCAGGCCAACATTCAAATTCAGGAAATACAGAGAACAACATAAAGATACTCCTCAAGAAGAGCAACTCTAAGACACATAATTGTCAGATTTGCCAAATTTGAAATGAAGGAAAAAATGTTAAGGGCGGCCAGAGAGAAAGGTCGGGTTACCCACAAA
Organism: Homo sapiens; assembly: GCF_000001405.40. Classification (NCBI taxonomy): domain Eukaryota; kingdom Metazoa; phylum Chordata; class Mammalia; order Primates; family Hominidae; genus Homo; species Homo sapiens. The sequence goes on from NW_003315914.1 coordinate 57,637, forward strand.
GGGAAGCCAGTCAGGCTAACAGTGGATCTCTCGGCAGAAACTCTACAAGCCAGAAGAGAGTGGGGGCCAATATTCAACATTCTTAAAGAAAAGAGTTTTCAACCTAGAATTTCATATCCAACCAAACTAAGCTTCATAAGTGAAGGAGAAATAAAATCCTTTACAGACAAGCAAATGCTGAGAGATTTTGTCAACACCAGGCCTGCCCTAAAAGAGCTCCTGAAGGAAGCACTAAACATGGAAAGGAACAACCAGTACCAGTCACTGCAAAAACATGCCAAATTGTAAAGACCTTCGAGGCTAGAAAGAAACTCCATCAACTAACGAGCAAAATAACCAGCTAACATCATAATGACAGGATCAAATTCACACATAACAATATTAACGTTAAATGTAAATGGGCCAAATGCTCCAATTAAAAGACAGACTGGCAAACTGGATAACGAGTCAAGACTCATCAGTGTGCTGTATTCAGGAGACCCATCTCATGTACAGAGACACACATAGTCTCAAAATAAAGGGATGGAGGAAGATCTACCAAGCAAATGGAAAACAAAAAAAGGCAGGGGTTGCAGTTCTAGTCTCTGATAAAACAGACTTTAAACCAACAAAGATCAAAAGAGACAAAGAAGGCCATTACATAATGGTAAAGGGATCAATTCAACAGGAAGAGCTAACTATCCTAAATATATATGCACCCAATACAGGAGCACCCAGATTCATAAAACAAGTCCTTAGAAACCTAGAAAGAGACTTAGACTCCCACACAATAATTATGGGAGACTTTAACACCCCACTGTCAACATTAGACAGATCAATGAGACAGAAAGTTAACAAGGATATCCAGGAATTGAACTCAGCTCTGCACCAAGCAGACCTAATAGACATCTACAGAACTCTCCACCCCAAATCAACAGAATATACATTCTTCTCAGCACCACACTACACTTATTCCAAAATTGACCACATAGTTGGAAGTAAAACATTCCTCAGCAAATGAAAAAGAACAGAAATTATAACAAACTGTCTCTCAGACCACAGTGCAATCAAACTAGAACTCAGGATTAAGAAACTCACTCAAAACCGCTCAAGCACATGGAAAGTGAATAACCTGCTCCTGAACGACTACTAGGTACATAACGAAATGAAGGCAGAAATAAAGATGTTCCTTGAAACCAATGAGAACAAAGACACTACATACCAGAGTCTCTGGGGCACATTTAAAGCAGTGTGTAGAGGGAATTTTATAGCACTAAATGCCCACAAGAGAAAGCAGGAAAGATCTAAAATTGACACCCTAACATCACAATTAAAAGAACTAGAGAAGCAAGAGCAAACACATTCAAAAGCTAGCAGAAGGCAAGAAATAACTAAGATCAGAGCAGAACTGAAGGAGATAGAGACACAAAAAACCCTTCAAAAAATCAATGAATCCAGGAGCTGATTTTTTAAATAGATCAACAAAATTGATAGACCACTAGGAAGACTAATAAAGAAGAAAAGAGAGAAGAATCAAATAGATGCAATAAAAAATTATAAAGGGGATATCACCACCAATCCCACAGAAAAAGAAACTACCATCAGAGAATACTACAAACACCTCTATGCAAATAAACTAGAAAATCTAGAAGAAATGGATAAATTCCTTGACACATACACCCTCCCAAGACTAAACCAGGAAGAAGTTGAATCCCTGAATAGACCAATAACATGCTCTGAAATTGAGGCAATAATTAATAGCCTACTGACCAAAAAAAGTCCAGGACCAGATGGATTCACAGCCGAATTCGACCATAGGTACAAGGAGGAGCTGGTACCATTCCTTCTGAAACTATTCCAATCAATACAAAAAGAGGGAATCCTCCCTAACTCATTTTATGAGGCCAGCATCATCCTGATACCAAAGCTGGGCAGAGACACAACCAAAAAAGAGAATTTTAGACCAATATCCTTGATGAACATTGATGCAAAAATCCTCAATAAAATACTGGCAAAACGAATCCAGCAGCACATCAAAAAGCTTATCCACCATGATTAAGTGGGCTTCATCTCTGGGATGCAAGGCTGGTTCAATATACGCAAATCAATAAATGTAATCCAGCATATAAACAGAACCAAAGACAAAAACCACATGATTATCTCAACAGATGCAGAAAAAGCCTTTGACAAAATTCAACAACCCTTCATGCTAAAAACTTTCAATAAATTAGGTATTCATGGGACGTATTTCAAAATAATAAGAGCTATCTATGACAAACCCACAGCCAATGTCATACTGAATGAGCAAAAACTGGAAGCATGCCCTTTGAAAACTGGCACAAGACAGGGATGCTCTCTCTCACCACTCCTATTCAACATAGTGTTGGAAGTTCTGGCCAGGGCAATCAGGCAGGAGAAGGAAATAAAGGTTATTCACTTAGGAAAAGGGGAAGTTAAATCGTCCCTGTTTGCAGATGACATGATTGTATATTTAGAAAACCCCATTGTCTCAGCCCAAAATCTCCTTAAGCTGATAAGCAACTTCAGCAAAGTCTCAGCATACAAAATCAATGTGCAAAAAATCACAAGCACTCATCTACACCAATAACAGACAAAGAGAGAGCCAAATCTTGAGTGAACTCCCATTCACAATTGCTTCAAACAGAATAAAATACCTAGAAATCCAACTTACAAGGGATGTGAAGGACCTCTTCAAGGAGAACTACAAACAACTGCTCAGTGAAATAAAAGAGGACATAAACAAATGGAAGAATATTCCATGCTCATGGACAGGAAGACTCAATATCGTGAAAATGGCCATACTGGCCAAGGTAATTTATAGATTCAATGCCATCCCCATCAAGCTACCAATGACTTTCTTCACAGAATTGGAAAAAACTACTTCAAAGTTCATATGGAACCAAAAAAGAGCCCGCATTGCCAAGTCAATCCTAAGCCAAAAGAACAAAGCTGGAGGCATCACGCTACCTGACTTCAAACTATACTACAAGGCTACAGTAACCAAAACAGCATAGTACTGGTACCAAAACAGAGATATAGATCAATGGAACAGAACAGAGCCCTCAGAAATAATGCCACTTATCTACAACTATCTGATCTTTGACAAACCTGACAAAAACAAGAAATGGGGAAACTATTCCCTATTTCATAAATGGTGCTGGGAAAACTGGCTAGCCATATGTAGAAAGCTGAAACTGGATCCCTTCCTCACACTGTATACAAAAATTAATTCAAGATGGATCAAAGACTTAAATGTTAGACCTAAAACCATAAAAACCCTAGAAGAAAACCTAGGCAATACCATTCAGGACATAGGCATGGGCAAGGACTTCATGTCTAAAACACCAAAAGCAATGGCAACAGAAGCCAAAATTGTCAAATGGGATCTAATTAAACTAAAGAGCTTCTGCACAGCAAAAGAAACTACCATCAGAGTGAACAGACAACCTACAGAATGGGAGAAAATTTTTGCAATCTACTCATGTGTCAAAGGGCTAATACCCAGAATCTACAAAGAACTCAAACAAATTTATAAGAAAAAAACAAACAAACCCATCAAAAGTGGGCAAAGTAGATGAACAGACACTTCTCAAAAGAAGTCATTTATACAGCCAACAGACACATGAAAAAATGCTCATCATCACTGGCCATCAGAGAAATGCAAATCAAAATCACAATGAGATGCCATCTCACACCAGTTAGAATGGCGATCATTAAAAAGTCAGGAAACAACAGGTGCTGGAGAGGATGTGGAGAAATAGGAACACTTTTACACTGTTGGTGGGACTGCAAACTAGTTCAACCATTGTGGAAGACGGTGTGGCGATTCCTCAAGGATCTAGAACTAGAAATACCATTTGACCCAGCAATCCCATTACTGGGTATATACCCAAAGGATTATAAATCATGCTACTATAAAGACACATGCACACATATGTTTATTGCAGCACTATTCACAATAGCAAAGACTTGGAACCAACTTAAATGTCCATCAATGATATACTGTATTAAGAAAATGTGGCACATATACACCATGGAATACTATGCAGCCATAAAAAATGATGAGTTCATGTCCTTTGTAGGGACATGGATGAAGCTGGAAACCATCATTCTCAACAAATGATCACAAGGACAAAAAACCAAACACTGCATGTTCTCACTCATAGGTGGTAATTGAACAATGAGACCACTTGGACACAAGAAGAGGAACATCACACACAGGAGCCTGTCATGGGGTGGGGGGAGTGGGGAGGGATAGCATTAGGAGATATACCTAATGTAAATGACGAGTTAATGGGTGCAGCACACCAACATGGCACATGTATACATATGTAACAAACCTGCATGGTGTGCACATGTACCCTAGAACTTAAAGTAAAATAATAAAAAAAAGAACAAAGTCTTGTTGAACCACCAAGGAGGAAGAAATTTTCCTTTTTGAGGATATCATGGAAAGCATCCCAGAAGAAGTCTATTTGAAATGTTTCTTTTTTTTTTTTTTTTTTGAGACGGAGTCTCGCTCTGTCGCCCAGGCCGGACTGCGGACTGCAGTGGCGCAATCTCGGCTCACTGCAAGCTCCGCTTCCCAGGTTCACGCCATTCTCCTGCCTCAGCCTCCCGAGTAGCTGGGACTACAGGCGCCCGCCACTGCGCCCGGCTAATTTTTTGTATTTTTAGTAGAGACGGGGTTTCACCTTGTTAGCCAGGATGGTCTCGATCTCCTGACCTCATGATCCACCCGCCTCGGCCTCCCAAAGTGCTGGGATTACAGGCGTGAGCCACTGCGCCCGGCCTGAAATGTTTCTTAAAGAATGAGTGAGAGTTCAAGAGGTGGAGAGGTGGAGAGGTCACTGTAAGCATGGAAAATTTAAAGATTTCAGGACTTAGTTCCTATGCTCTAGATTTATCACTAGGTGTTTGTGTGGGAAGTCATGGGAAATGAGATCTGAAAATTATACAGTCTGCTGTAAATGTGTGAACTCTTGAGTTTTCTGCTAATAAGTTTGGGTAGTATGCAGATTTTGTTGATCATTTAAAGAAATCAATGTAACATGCTAGCATCAGAATCTGCTTCCCCCTTCTATCGGGGGAACCCACCCCCAATATTTCAACGTAGGTTCTGTCTATTTTCCATAAGTGTCGGCCAGCTGAGAAATAAAGAGAGACAGTATAAAGAGAGGAATTTTACAACTGGGCAGCTGGGGGTGGCATCACATATCAGTAGGACCATGATGCCCACCTGAGGCTCAAAACCAGCAAGTTTTTATTAAAGGTTTTAAATGGGGAGGGGGTATAAGAACAGGGAGTAGGTACAAAGATCACATGCTTCAAAGGGCAAAAGGCAGAACTACTACTAAGGGTCTAACAAAGATCACATGCTTCTGAGGGAACAGGACAAAGGGCAAAAGCAGAACTACTGGTAAGGGTCCAACAAAGATCACAAGGCAAAGGGAAAAAGCAGAACTACTGATAAAGTCTATGTTCAGTGGTGCACATATTGTCTTGATAAACATCTTAAACAACAGAAAGCAGGGTTCAAGAGCACAGAACCAGTCTGACCACAAATTTACCAGGGCGGAGTTTTCCCCACTCTAGTAAGCCTGAGGGTACTGGAGACCAGGGTGTATCTCAGTCCTTATCTCAACCACATAAGACAGACATTCCCAGAACAGCTGTTTATAGATCTCCCCCCACGAATGCATTCCTTTCCCAGGGTATTAATACTAATATTAATATTCCTTGCTAGGAAAATAATTTAGTGATATCTTCCCTACTTGCATGTCCCTTTATGGGCTCTCTGCAAGAAGAAAAATGTGGCTCTTTTTGCCTGACCCCACAGGTAGTCAGACCTTATGGTTGTCTTCCCTTGTTCCCTAAAAATTGCTGTTATTCTGTTGTTTTTCAAGGTGCACTGATTTCATATTGTTCAAACACACGTTTTACAATCAATTTGTACAGTTAACACAATTATCACAGAGGTCCTGAGGTGACGTATCTCCTCAGCTTAGGAAGATAACAGGATAAAAGATTAAAGTAAAGACAGGTGTAAGAAATTATAAAAGTATTATTTGGGAACTGATAAATGTCCTTATTAAAATGAAATCTTCACAATTTATGTTCCTCTGCTGCAGCTCCAGCTGGTCCCTCCATTTGGGTTCCCTGACTTCCCGCAACACCCTTCCCTTTTAAAGAACAGATGTTTCTATTTTGCAATTTTTTCTGACTTGTGAACTACCTTTAATAGTATTTTTAGTATTTAGTATTTACTTTAATAGTAATAATATGAATTCTATAAAATTATTGCTATTTAACCATTCCAACCTACAAAAGCATCAATTTCATATGGTTCAAACTGTATATTATGAGAATAATACCTAAACTTTAAATAATTTTTTTATAATACCTAAACTTTTAAAATCATTTTAATGTTTTTTATGTAGTTGATAATAAAATATGCTACTTAGTACTTTTAAAAAATTATATAATACATTATGATTGTATTATAAAGTTTATTTAATATAATTTATACTATTAAAATAGTTGGTAACCTCTTCTTATTTACAAATAGAACACTTGCTTTTAAAAATACTATTAAATTATATAAAGAAAAGCATTTCTTTTCAAATTTTCAATGATAATATATCATGTTGAACTAGGAAAAAATGAATGTTAACGTGTTTATATACCAAAATATGGCCAAAAAATAGTTTTCATAACCTCATGTCTGAAATTGCTGGAACTTATTTAGAATCTCATTGGAATTATTTTTATTAAAATGTTAATGATTTTTAATAAATAAAGAAATAAAATTTATCTGTAGGCATTTCTCCAAAGCCCAGGATGAGAAAGGGTCTCCTGGTTCCTGGTTCCTTTGTGATGTGTTCCATGTGAGAGGCAGGCCAGTTTCCTTAACTGTAAGAGTGTTTAGTGTAACCTTATCTACATACATCTTCCAAGAATGTCATTTATTTTTCCCTTGAAAACCAGTCATCCTAAATCCACAGAGATAAATGAAGTAGTCCTTTCACTGGTCCATAATTTCTTCCCTTGAAATTGGTGCCCTAAGTTTGTTTTCTGCTTTTTCTCAAGCCTGCCATAATTACAACTGAGCAAACGTTAGTTGTTGATGGCTGTTTCTGAGTTTTATCAAAGAGACTTTGAAAACCTCCTAAGTGTGTGACTAAATTTAAATCCTAGCTAAGGAATTTTAATTCCGTTCAGACTCCCATCTATGGGAATCAAAGAAAACGTTAGAACAACAAAACAAGGACAAGAAAAAAGCTACTTCACAGCCCAAATGGCAATTTATCTTGTCAACTAAAGTTTATTGAATGGCTGCTATGTTTACAGATGCTTCTTGGCTTAGAAAGGAAAAAATCTGTTAAAAAAAGTAATTATTCAATTCCTAAATATATTATAGCTCCTGATGAACAAGAGCTGTATGTATTAGATTGGCTTCTGCATAAGAAAGTCTGAGCCCGAGATAAGGATTTGGGGGATGGGGATTTATCTGGGAGATGTTCCCAGAAAGTAGTGAGGGACTAAGGAAGTTGAGACAGGAAAAGAGCCATAAATAAATTATTGAGGTCAATGTCAGGAGCAACTGTGGGTTGCTCTGGGCTATTTGAAGAAGGGTGCAGAATCCTTTCAGAATTCCCCTACTGAGTCAGCATTTCTGTGTCTGCCACAATCTACCACTGTTGAGTAAGGAAAAGAGTGGGAAATTGCATTGGCAGACAGGAAGATGTTGCAGCAGTTTTAAGCTGTGAAGGGTAGATGGAAAAAGAAAAGTTAACATCTTATGGAAGAGCACATGTGGTGCTTTGTAGAAAGAAATATTGTGATGGCTGAAGGGATGATCTTTATAAACTCCTATTCACGTTCAGAGTTTAGCTCAATGCAAGTTCCTGCTAATTCTCATTGCTCTACCCTCGCAGGCTCACTCTTTTCTGCACCCTAACCTTAGAAATCAAGAGGAAAGACCTAGAGACAAAGATTTTTGTTATAATGCTTTATATCTGATTTTCATATTCTTTTACTACATGTCTGAAAAAGAAAGTTGCTATATCTCTTAGCTTTCTAGTATTTTTACTTCTGAATATAGATTAGATGGTTTCTAGGGTAACTTTTAGGCCCAGAATTAGTTACGATTTGCATCTTCTTAAACATGCTCATCTACCAGTGTTGCCTCCAGCATCTTCCTTCTCTAAGCCATGTGTGCACAGAATTATGTGCATATGGAAATAGAGTGGGTTTAGAAGGTTACTGCAGATCATTGCCTGTACCCGTAGAATCTCCTCTCTTGATCTGTTAAATGTCTGAGGTTCTATTACATTGTATTATTTGAGTTAAAGTATATTTCCAGAAAGTCTGTGTAAAATATTCAATATATAAATAAATAGGGAGCTGTAGATACTATAGTCATAGAAATTCTAAATCTGAGCCTAGGAGCAGTGGCTCATGCCTGTAATTCCAGCATTTTGGGAGGCTGGGATGGGTGGATTGCTTGAGGCCAGAAGTTCAAGACCAGCCTGGTCAACATAGTGAAACCCCATCTCTAAAAATAAAAATAAAAATAAAAATAAAAATAAGAAATAAATTCTAAATGTGATTATAAATAAAAGTTTCCTAATTAGATTATCATCAGATGGACAAATTGGGTTCGAAGTGGCAAAATTTAAGTATTGGCAAATGATGACCAGAATATAACTAGTAATACATTTGATAATGCTATTGCAAAAAATAATGAGGATGTGTGTGTATGGGGGCCTTCCACTGTAGTTACTCTCCTGGATGAAGAAAATAAGTTATTTTTAGATTAGCTTGCAGTTTCTCTGATGCCCCAAAGTCAAGTCTTTCAATGATCAGTTCTTGTGATGTAAAAGCAAATATTGAATTGATACTACTACTTAAGAGTGAAATGTCATTTCTTTAAAAAATTTTTTGTTTCTAAAATATCTATTTTTTCCAATTCATAGGAAAATTTGTTTCCTTATTTGTTTTACTAGTATGTTGACCAATAAGTGAAGGAAACTTCTCAGCTCAAAAGGCTTAAAGAGAGTGGAATAAATTATTTAGCATTATTCTCTGTAAACACGTACCCAGTTGAACAACTATGTAGAGAAAGAGGGGCTGTTAACTGTTCTCTGCTTCCAAACACTCTAAGCCAGGACACCAGGAAAAGCAACAGTGACTCCACCGCTCTCTCAGGTAAGGTCCCTATCCAGTGTGTAGGCAATTTCCAGGATCATTCATAAAAACTCAAGGGAAATGTGACAGGTATAGCATATAGTTTTGATGATTTTCAAGTTCAATTATAACATGGCATTTGCATGTTGTTTATCTTTCTGTACTAGATATATAATTTATTATTCAGTAATAAAATCAAGATTTTAACCTGGGTCAGGATCTTGAAGATTATAATCAGCTTAAACACTTTCTATTTTGGTGAGGAAATTGATATGTACAGAAATTCAGTCAGTTTTTCTCATATTACAAGGTAGTCGTAGAGCCAAGACTAGAAATCAGGTTTCTGACTTCCAATGACTTTGGCTAATTAGACAAAATTCCATCATGGTAGATGATTAAATAAAGGCTAAGTGCTGTTTCTGCCTATAGTTCTTAGTGAGTAGCAGTGGCATGCTAAGGATAAGGCCATGAAGCTTCTATCCTGGCTTAATTGTTCTTGGGGCAATTGTTTAGAGCTTAGATTAATAAATGATGTTTCAAGGAAGAATATTTTTATCACTGACACTGTATAGAATTATGGGCACATGGCTATTATTGGTTCTTGTTGTTGTTGTTGTTGTTGTTTTGTTTTTGTTTTGAGACAAAGTCTCACTCTGTTGCCCAAGCTGGAGTGCCATGGCACAATCTTGGCTCACTGCAACCTCCACCTCCTGGGTTCAAGCGAGTCTCCTGCCTCAGCCTCCCTAGTAGCTGGGACTACAGGCACGCACCACCTTGCCTGGCTAATTTTTTTGTAGTTTTAGTAGAGATAGAGTTTCGCTACGTTGGCCAGGCTGGTCTTGAACTACTGTTTTAAAATTCTATATAGGCAATGTATGCTAATGTGGATGACTGCTAGCTACCCTGTCATTGGTATGCCACAGATGAATAGTAAACTGATAATGTTCATTTAAATTCCAATACAATGTGTTGAGAGCTTAACTGCTGCTGATTATTACATGATATTTAGGTCAGAAGAACTCTGATGATTGAATGGAAGTGGGCTTTGAGCATGTACCCAGACTTTATTATACAGTTAATTTCCCTAGAGGTGTTAAATTTCAGTTTTTGGTCTAGAAGCTGTAAGAATATTCAAATTTGAGAGAATACATATTTGTTTTTTACAAGCTCATCATCTTATGTATCCTAATACTATGCCAAATGTTTTCTTGGGATTGAATAAATGTAATTTTTTTAACTTGGCCTCTGTTGATTCATTGGATGTTTGTTACTTTGAATATAAAAGCAGAACTTGGCAAGTCATACAACTCAATTTGGCAGATCACTCACTCTTAGCAAATGAACTGTGCCCAACATAAATCCACTCTAAAGTTTACAGAGGTTCAGTTCTGTACCAATGGAAATGAGAAGTTAGCTAAGAGTACAAGAAGCATGCTGATTGGCTGATGCAGGGTAAGCAGGCTACATAAAAGGCAGCTGTAGAACATCTGGGAAGGTCAATGATAGCATCTGCCTAGAGTCAAACCTCCGTGCTTCTCAGACAGTGCCTTTTCACCATGAGTGGGTGCCCATTTTTAGGAAACAACTTTGGGTGAGTATTTACCTTTATTCTAAGTGGGTTTTGGCTTTTAGAAGTATCAGGTGTGAGCATTTTAATTTCTGAATTTAAGGAGCATTGAAAACTGTCACCTTTATTCCTTTGTCTAACAATCTACTCTAAAGAAAATTTGCAATGAGAATTTTAATCACCCATATCATTAGTTAACTGTGTTTTCTAAAGCACTATTTTTCCCTCTTGATTTATTAAATTTGCAGATATACTTTTAAAAAACTCCCCGTAGAAGGCAGCGAAGAAGACAAATCACAAACTGGTGTGAATAGAGCCAGCAAAGGAGGTCTTATCTATGGGAACTACCTGCATGTAAGTGGCAGGGTCCTTACAGGGTTTGGTGTCCATTGTTAGGCACTCAATTCTGCCAAGTGACTTTTTATGATTTTATTTCTTGGAATTAGGGAAAGTCACCAATCGTTTTCTGGACCTAAGGATATTTTTATTCATAAACACTTTTACGTTTTCAACTTTTGTTAGAATAATTCAAGAGACTTATAGGATAAAATTCATATCTCCAGTGGAAGTAAGAGCAGAGAATCCAGAATCTGGGAGGCGTATACATGATAAGATACACTGTGGATAATTCACAGGCATTGTGCAACTTGTATAGATAAGACATGGTTAATAAATGTCAGCCTAGATAACTGCAAATGTATCTTGAAAAAGTTCTCCTTTAAATCTCTTATCATGAAGTCGAAATGTAAAAGGCACACAGAGAATTTTCTTAAAATCATTAACATATAAAGAGGGATGTTAATGAATGAGGTATTGGGAGATTATTCTGGGCCAAGTTTCAGCCTGTTTGTCTTCTATTTTTTTTAAGAGGCAAAATGATTAGTCCTTGATGTCTTCATCGGTGAGTTTCTAAGGATTAACTGATAAAGAATGTTAAAATATTCTTAGAATAGGCTCTTTAGGGGAATAAAAGAATGCCAAATGCATAGTCAGCTCAGCAAGTTTTCAAGTTTTCATCATATTCATTTCATGAAAAGGGATATGATGTCTCAAAGAGCTTAATAGGATTTATTATGATAAAATCCTACCAAATAGAAATTTTCTGAGAAGAATAAAAATCACAAATTCAATTCACTCTTTATGATGAGATTCGTCCATTGTTTAAAAGAAACTAGATTGGTTTCTGAGAATTTTGAGTTTGGAGGAGCATTTGTCATTATCATATTCTACTTCTTACTAAAGTTCATAAAAACCAAGTTCTGCAATTTCAGACAGGCTTTTTATTTTTCATTTCAAGTTGGAAAAAGTTTTGAATGCACAAGAACTGCAAAGTGAAACAAAAGGAAATAAAATCCATGATGAACATCTTTTTATCATAACTCATCAAGGTAAGTTGCACAAAGGTTTTGGACAATATTCCACAGGCATTTCTCATTGATAACGAGGAAAGCTACAATTTTTAAACTACAAAATGATGAAAGATCATGGAATCACCTCTGTTAGAAATGTTTGAGAATATTTTGCTGCCAGATGAATTCTCATAGGACTGATATAAGGATTTCAATAGTCTTCTTTATGTTACTCCTCTGCTAATAGGTGAAGTAGGACTTTAGCTTTGTTCTTAACTCCAAGGGGACTTTCTGCCTCTTGGAATTTCACTAGGAATTCACAAGTGAAGATGTTACGTTTCTCACTTCGGAACACTAAAAAACTATTTTCAAGATCATTGAAATTTATGCTGGATTGACATAATCCTATACAAATCTAGTAATAAAGACAAATGTAAATTGTGTCCAAAAATGTATGTTTATCCTTTCCAGATTTCTATAATGATTTCTGGGCAGTGGGTTTTTTTTTAGCCTATGTGTTCATGACTTCAGAAGTTTAGAAGGTCCCTGAACTCCAAAATTATGCACAAATTTTCATGAATATTATCTTAAAGAGGTCTGTGACCCCAAAATATTAGTAACATTTACTTTAAGCTTTTCAGTACCACTATACTGACCTCTTAATGACTGGAGCCCAATCACTGTTGCCTGCCAGTGCCCCACATCTAGATGTGTTTCCCTGCCTTACCAATTCTTTGTGTTCTTTCCTCAAATGGATGCTTTCCAATGTGATTGAGTAAATTAATAAACTCTGGTAAAGAAATTAAAAGTTAAAAAACTGGCTTAATGTGTCAGTTCTCCTGTTTTTATGTTTATACTTTTATGGGTGGCTTATACCGAGGCAATATCAATAGGAGAAGAATCATGGTATGGTAGCATAAATTAGGAATTTAAAAATTGTTTAGTATCTCAGTTCTACTGTTATAAATTGTGTGACTCTGGTCAAGTTGCTTAGATCTCAGGACCTCCATTTCCCCATACGTAAAATGGAGAGAATTACTGATGCTCTCACTTACAGAGTTCCTAGGAAGATAAATAAGATAATGTGCATCAAGCATTTAGCCCGAGGTATAGCACATAATAAACATGCAACAAATGGTAGCTATCATTATTTTATAAAAACACTTTTCTTCTATTCTTTAGTTATAACATGTAGGCAGTGGTTACATAGGGTTAAAAAAGATATACATAAACTGATCAATAAATGTTTGATTGTTCTTTGCTCAAATATAAAAATTAGGTCCCCCAAAGTCTTTTTAAACATAACTTAGAGTTATAATTGGATTCTCTTAATTAGTATGGAAACATTGCCTTTATCCATATGATTGAACCAAATAGGATGCACTGAAGATCTCTAAGATTATTGACTTCCTGTGTCATCTAATTATTACATTGTCTATTTAATTTATTCATAAAAATAAAAATAATCACCCAATATTTACTTTATGCCTGACACTGTGCTAGGTAATGAAGAAAAATGGATGAGTATGAGTAAGTCCTTAGTTTCTAGTGACAAAGAATACTATGGGAAGGACAAATCAACGGGGAGAACCATTTATATTTGCTATGAATCATCTAGCAACACAAAGGAGTCAAAATGTCTATCCATGTCTACCATACTGCTGTAAGTCTTAAGGTTTTGAATCATAGGTTTCCAATTGTAGGTGGGTAACTGATCATTTTGCAAATGAATCAACTGAAGTTAAAGAAAATGGTTTTGCCCCAATTGACACAGCCCGTCACTTCAGATAGATTGATTCCAACTATGCTTCTTCCAACATGTCATTACTGTATCACTTTTCTTTAATGCCAATGTTACTGTTTGACAGCCCGTAGTAAAAGGGGAGAACAAACTTAATCCTTCGACAGAAAAGCTTTGGCAGTATTCAGGTTTGAACAAATAAACCTTGGACTCATGGAAATTCTGAAAGATGATCTACTGGATAATGTGAACTCAATTGCCACAAAGTTCCCCCGGGAATTAGCTGTTACAGTAATATGAAGCTTTGCCATTTTCCTTTGACCACAAACATCTGGCCGCTTTCCCATATGTGCTAAGTCTATGAGTTGCTAGGATTTTCACAAATAAAACAAACAGACAAAATGCTGCATTTTAAGTAACTTAGCTTTGTATTTTCAAGTTCTTAAAATCCTACAGTCTTTCATTTAGGTTAGGAAATATTAATTTCTCAGTGTGTAGATGAAGTTGATTATCACTTCTGCTTCCCCACATACTTCCAGCTTCCATAGAGGAAGCTAGAATTAGGTTATGTGCTATATCCTCAAAGACCTAAAAATGCATTTGTTGAGAGGAATTAGTGTAATAATAATGAATATGAAGCATTAGGTAACATGTCTAGCATATTAAAACATTTAATAAAAGGAGGCTATTACAACTTTAACACTAACATTTATTTCTGGCACACAATGGGACTATATTTACATTTATTGATTTTAAGGTAACATTTTAATTTCTCTTTCAACATGTTAAACATATCTTTCATATAATAATGGCCAAAAAGGCTCCCATAACTTTCCAACTGACAATGATTTCCTTATTACAGCTTATGAACTCTGGTTTAAGCAAATCCTCTGGGAGTTGGATTCTGTTCGAGAGATCTTTCAGAATGGCCATGTAAGTTCTTATGTCACAATATTGGTTTCATGTATATTTTTGGAAGATATGGAAAGTATTATTAATGAGAGAAAAACATTAACACCAAATGGTGGTCTTAACTTTTAATGATAGAACAAACAGACATTTTATGAATGAATGAGGAGTTCAGTCATATTTTTCCATTGCTATTTTGAAATTACATGTGACTTTAAGGTTCCTTTCAAATTTCAGTTTCAAGTCCCTTGTTTAGAACTCATTTCCACCCACAAAGATGTTATAAATGATGGTGGATTACCAAGCTAATGGGGATCCTTTAATTAACAGGTACCAGAATTGTATTTCTACTGAATATTAGCTGCAGGAAGATGGGAGCAATAATAAAGAAAGTGAAAAAGGAAGAGAAGGAGGCAGTAGAGAAAGAGTGGTGGGAGGAAGAAAAAGAGGAAGAAAAGGGGGAAAAGGGGAATGGGGCAATGGGGAAGAAAAGGACAGGAGGACAAAGAGTGAGAGGAGAGGAGGGAAAGCTTCCAGTGACGGCAGGAGCTTGAGGTGCACTTCTCCATCTCCCACCCTGCTTTCTCTTGCCATGGCTCTGAGGATCCTTCCTTGGGTCCTCTACCTCTGAGCCCCTGCTCCAAGAAGGGCTAGGAGACAGAGCACATGGGACCCATACAGATGGGACCCTTCCTGCCTGCATGAATCCACTTCCCATTTGTGTCAGTGGCAACTTTGGCCCTCAGTAAAGAGTAGATTGATCCACATGTTGTTTAACCCTCACTCAGAAGTTCCTGTGTTATCTTGACCTCTGTTCTTTGAAACAAAACTAAAAGAGAAACTTGTTTTGAAATCAGTGGGGGGTTGTATTCTAGAATTTACTTCTGCTATGCTTCTATATAATTTTCTATTGTCAAAGAAAGAAAAAATTTCTTATTTTGCAGAAATTCCTTGCCCACAATTCAGAACTGTTATATACTCTTTGCAAATTTTAGTTTCAAAGTTTCCCTTTAAAACCAAATTAGAGACAAAATTAATGGGAATTCATTGCCATTGTCTATTTTGTATTTTCTAGAGGTCAGCATTGCTAACTCAGTGTTTCATTTCTTAACCTTCAGGTCAGAGATGAAAGGAACATGCTTAAGGTTGTTTCTCGGATGCACCGAGTGTCAGTGATCCTGAAACTGCTGGTGCAGCAGTTTTCCATTCTGGAGACGATGACAGCCTTGGACTTCAATGACTTCAGGTGTGCACATTTGGCATTTTAAAAAATGTGATGGAATTTACTTTCTCATTTTGGTGGGGTAAAAGCAGCATGTGTGTGTTTTGTGCCATGAGGAGCCTGTCTTACTAACATTTTGTCACTATATGGACTTAGGGGTCTTCGATCACAAAGCATTTGAGAAGTTATTAAAAATATTTTATTATTCATTTTTACATGTAAGCGTAATATGATCAATTGATTTAAATTCATCACTGTGTGTTCTGTTTTTCTCCAAAAAGAATTTTAGACAACTTAGCACATTGACTAAAATAGCTAATAAAATACATGTAATTAAATTTAAAAGATATAAAAACTCAAAACAGGAGCGATATATACAGAAGCATGTCAATCAAAGTAGAAGTTATGGATTAAACCATAAATTTTACCTGTACATTTCAAGGCAATACCATATAGATAGCTTTTTTCTTACCAAAATGTGAGAAGAAAAAAGTTTAAGAAACTTCCATTGGGTGTAGGATGTAACATGCATGTCCTGAACATGTCTGACAAAGGAAAAGTAGAATTTGTGGTGAATTTAAAACGTTAAAGTCTTAGCAGCAGTGAAATGAAAGACATTCACAAAGATATAATATGGGGAGTGGGAGTAATAACATTTTTGATATCCGATGATATTTAAGTAGCTCATTTTTCTGATTTCAGTGAGTCAAATCACAGGTCTAACTCTAGACAGTTGTGTGTATCTGCTCTTGATATCCAAGAGTAAAACTGACAGTCTCTACAATCTCTTACAATAGAAGAAACCATTATGGTGGTTGATAATGTCAGCTCTTCTCTTCTCTCCTCTCCTCTCCTCTCTTCTCCTCTCCTCTCCTCTGGACTCCTCTCCCCTCCCCTCCCCTCCCCTCCCCTCTCCCCTCCCCTCCCCTCCCCTCTCCCCTCCCCTCTCCCCTCCCCCCCCTTTCTCTTCTCTGCTCTTCTCCTCTCCTCTCTTTCCCTTCCCTTGCCTTTCCTTCCACCATTTAATCTCAAAGAGAGTACTTATCTCCAGCATCAGGCTTCCAGAGTTTGCAATTCCGACTATTAGAAAACAAGATAGGTGTTCTTCAGAACATGAGAGTCCCTTATAACAGAAGACATTATCGTGATAACTTCAAAGGAGAAGAAAATGAACTGCTACTTAAATCTGAGCAGGAAAAGACACTTCTGGAATTAGTGGAGGTATGGATTCATACAATTTATAAAGTTTAACTCAATACATCTTCTTAATTTAGCTTTTGCTAAATCAGAATTTTAAAAACGTATATCGAAACTGAGTTACATTCAGTGGAAATAAGGATAGAAAGAATTCATAAAAATACATGAATTTGTAAATTCATGTTACTAAAATATTGAAAATGTCAAGAACCCTGCTGAGAACTTCGGAAATACTTATGTAATCAATTGTATGCTAATATTTAATAACCTTATCATCTCAATAAAACAATTCCTTAAATATCCCTTCTAAGTAACACTTAATTAGCTGATTTTTAGACTGAGTGTGATTATTTAGTGAGCTTTATTGTTTTAAAATATTCTGTAATTGAAAATTTCCAGTTATTTAGTATTTTTCTTAGCTGAACTAAATTACTAAGAATATACACCTCAGAAAATGTTCCCTTCATATCCAAATTCCCTAAAGGTCTGTAAGTAGCCTTTAGGAATTATTAATTTTTTCTTCAAAATAGATTATTAAACAAAGATTGTATTGTCTTGCTTTCCATTACAAAGCCTTTTCTTCTGCAAATTAACTTTTCTTGTGTTGAATTATACTCTGCTCATTAATCCTCTGGGTATTGTAAATGTGGATTTAGGTTAATGTATTATATATAATGCCAAATAATGGCAGATAAGAATAGGGAGAAAAAGAATTACAAAGCTAATTTCAGAATTATAATAAGTATAGGTTAAATGAGAACTCACAGAGGTACATGAATTTAGTTTTATTTCTAGATTTAAAAACATTTTAAAATCTCAAAGTAATTGCATGGATGGTTAATTTCAAAGTTGCTAAGTATACAGTGCCCATGAATTTAGAAGAGATCGTATCTTATACATATCGTAATTTCTTAAGCTCCTATGACATAAAGTAACTTGAGAATAAACCAGAATATATTAGTAAAATAATTATTAAGAATATACTCTTTAAATATGTTTAGATAGAACATATGTTTAAATATGTTTGTAGATTTCTAGAAGACAATTGGAATTTCTGTAATCACATATTTCTTAAGAAATAAAGAGTAAACATTATTAACCATTGCCATAAAAATTAAGAAAATTGAATATATTAATTATTTCATAAATGAAGAAATTGAAGAGAAATAAAAAACATTTACAAATAAAACTTGTAGCATATGTTTCTGGAAACCATGAAGATTTCTTGTTTTAAGTTTATACATGTCGGTTACAATGCATTTTACATAATTTTACCATGTACTCACTTAAAAAATAATGTTTATTTAAGGCATGGCTGGAAAGAACTCCAGGTTTAGAGCCACATGGATTTAACTTCTGGGGAAAGCTTGAAAAAAATATCACCAGAGGCCTGGAAGAGGAATTCATAAGGATTCAGGTATTTAGATGACATGAGTTAATATAAATTCAATACAGAAATATTCAAAATTTTATTTTAATTATTTTTTGCTTTTCTCTTAACCTTTTCTCTTTCTCATATTTTTTTCTTAGACAAATGTATTTTCTTGGACTATGTGACATGATTGATTTCATTTTCTTTATGTGTGATAAATATTATACTAAAATAAGACCTTCATTGCACGGGAGAATTTTGTCTATGATAACTAGCTGAGATTAATATTATTTTTCATTTCTATTGAAAATTCTATATTAGAACCAATTTTAGACAGAACTAGGCCCACAGTGGACTAACGAACCAAATCTATTTAGCCCTGTAGCTTTGCTTTTGCTCTTGTATATTTACTGGGTGCTTTCTGGCAGCTCTCAGACAATGTCAGTTTTCTCCTACTTAAAAGATACTGTTGATTGCTCATTGCCCTTATCTTTCAGGTCTCTCATCCTCTTGGCATGACTAAATTTCCTGGAAGACTTGTTTAAATTCTACATCTTGAGAGGTTGCATCAGGTAGTGCTGAAAGCATAGACTTTGAAGTCATGCTACTTGGGTTCCATTTCCACTTCCACTTCTTAAACAACTATGTGACAGAGAACAAGTGACTGCACCTCTCTTAGCCTATCTTTCAGCATTGGCAAAATAGAAAAATAAGAATATCTAACTCATAAGATTATTATGAACAGGAAATTAAATAAATACTTGTAAAGCATTGAAAGCAGAAGTCAGAATAGTTATCTCTCAGCTAATCCTGAGCTTACTTCAAGCTGTCTTCCTGTACCATCATTCTCATGTGGCCTTCATGTACATAAATCCAATGGCCATTTTTAATCTTAACTTAGTTGACCTCGCAGAAACATTCAATACTAATGACTACTACTTATTCTTTCTTGAACATTCTTTTCTCTTGGATTTAGTATATACCATTATGTTTGCTTCTAATTCTCTGGCCCTTATTTCTCTATCTCTTTTACTTGCTCTTATTTCTCTCTCAGACCAATAAATGGTAGAGTTTTGTAGTCCATTGGCTTAGATCCTTTCTGTTCTATCTCTATACTCTTTCATTAGATGGTGTCATTTATACCCACTGCTTCAATATCTACTTAGCCACCATAATTCTCAAACATTTATCTCTGGTTTATATATCCCCTTAGATTTCAGAACATGTATATAATACCTTACTTGATATTTCCTCCTGGTCCTCTCAAAAACACACCAATAAAACCAAACTTGAACATTTCCCCTTCCATCCACTCTTGTACCAACATTGTCTTCTCTGCATTAAAGAATTTTTTCTCCTATAATCCATCTAGGCTGTCGTCAGACTCTTATCAATCAGTGATCCTTGGCTCCGCCCTCTTGTTTCACCACTTCTTCAAGCTATCATCAAGTCCTACCAATGTTACCTATTAGCTCTCAAATATCATCCTTTAATCTACCACTACCACTCAAGTGCAACCCTCCATCGTTTTTCACCTGGACTATAATAATATCTGAACTGTGCTCCCCCACCTTCCCAGTATGCCTCTATTCCAATTTAGTCTCCACATTGCAGTCTGAATAATCTTTTCAGAAGGCAAATCTGATCACATCTCCCTTTTGTGTAAAGCCTTTTGATGTTACCTCATTGTTTTTAAAATTAAGATAAAATTAACCTGGTCTATAAGGCCTTTATGATCTCACATTCATGTGGTCAAGCCATATTAAGTTTCTTTATTAGCTAAGTTTAGTTCTTTGGATTTATCACCAAGGAGTCCTTTTATGTGTTCTTCTCTGGGCTTGGAATGTTCTTCCCCAACTAACTCCTTCCCACTCTGAAGATCTTGGCTCGAGGAAAACTTCTTTAGAAAGGTCTTTCCTAAACTCCTTATTACTTTAAGTTATGACATATAGCATAGTCTATGGTTGTAATTTAATGACTGTACTGGGTTATTATTTGTTCAATGTCTTATTCCTACCAGATAATTCCTGTATAATATCACGACTCTCAATTTTTGCACACAATTTTATCTCTATCATCTTAGCATGACATGTATTGAATAAATAAATAATTAATTTGAAATAATATGCATATAGGTTAGTACTACACAGTGTGGTGGTTCTGATGAATTGGAAATAATTGGGTTAAATAATTTTCCCCAGCTCAATTAATTGGCTTATAAGCAGAATATGTGTTGTAGGCAGAAAAATAAGAATTTTCTTAAACCAATCAATAGATAGATAGAAAATGAATAAAACATGAGTGAGAAATATCTAAGAAATTGTATTTACAGAATTCAACACTGAATATAGAACATAGAATTTCAATAGGTTTAATAGTTCTTCTGACTAGGAATTCTTAACTTTTTCTAAGTGAAGTTACCTTACTTCCTGTGTTTAATTCTTGTTTAAAATTATATCATTATTAACTGCTGGTAGTTATCTCCAATTTTGTCCATCTGAGTCCATTGCTCATTATATTTATGAAGATAATATTTAATATTGAGAAATCATTTAAACTTAAATAAAAGGATAGAACCACTGAGTATGTGGAAGATTCCTTCTCATAAGACATAATTTCCAAATAGTAATATTAGAAGATACAGTAAATATTAAAAGTACATCATTTCTGCAACCATAAGTCTTTTCCTCATAAGCAAAGTTTTCTAAAATATCAATCTACTTATTCTCTCTCAGGACTATTAATGCCATATTTTTCCTAAAGGCTAAAGAAGAGTCTGAAGAAAAAGAGGAACAGGTGGCTGAATTTCAGAAGCAAAAAGAGGTGCTACTGTCCTTATTTGATGAGAAACGTCATGAACATCTCCTTAGTAAAGGCAGGTATTTTTACTTTATGAATCTTTTCCCTGGAATGTGTGAATATGAGATCAAGACATCATTTTATAAGACTATCAAGCCTTACTTGGGAGAAATAGAATGAAAATTGATATTCTACTGATAGAAACAAAAATGGAGTAAATGTTTTTGGTGATAAACCTATTTTAACGGGTTTCCATGCCCAGATTATTTGAAAAACATTAGAAAAAAATTTATAGTCTCTGCCAGATATACGGGATATCAAGATGAATTGCATATAGTTTCTCAAGTAGTTCACAGCCTAATAGGGACAGAAATGAAGACAAATCATTGTAACAGTAAACACTATGGTAGAGGTAAGAAAAGGAAGGAATAGCTACCGTGAGAGCAAGTATTGATGTCGCCCCATTGTTTTAGAATTAAGATAAAATCTTTAACGTGGTCTATAAGGCCTTTTATGATCTCATATTCATGTGGTCCAGCCATACTAAGTTTCTTTTATTAGCTAAGTTTAGTTATTTGGATTTATCATCAAAGAGTCTTTTTATGTGTTCTCTGGGCTTGGAATGTTCCTGCCCTCTTTCTCTCTTCCTCCCTCCTTTGTGTGTGGGTGAGTTCTTTCATACAAATCTGCTTGACTGACCAAGATACCAGGAAAAGCATACATTTAGACTTTCGGCACAATTAGTACTGAGCTGTTAGTTCCTGAAATTTATTGAGCCATAAAATCAGTACTTTCATTTCTAAACTTTTGCGTTCATTTTGACTTAGAACTTTTATTGTAACGCATCCCAAACCTTTTTGGAAATATGCAGAATAAAAGTAAAAATTAACTTTTATAACACAAGTACGAAACATAGCAATACGTGAAATTGGTATTAAGTTTTATAAGCTTAAAGGTTGTTAGCTTCTGTTTTCTAAAAAAAACAAATCTCAGTAAAGAATAGCAAAATCTTGTTTCGCTGCAGCAGGGAGAAAGTCTTTCATTAGAGCACACATGTATGATTTTACATAATTGTGCTCATTAAAAACAAGTTAACTAATGTCAAGTGAATTAATGAAAACTACTTTGAAATGATGCTTATAACACATCACTACTTTTTTGAAATGAAAGACACATATTCTTTTACTCGGAAAATGAATTTTATTATGAAAGTCAAGTGTTTTCTAGAAAAATCAGGTTTTCCTAACATGCTATTTGAAGGTTTTGAAAATTTAAAATATGTACATTTTTAGTTTGTTTTTTAAAATCCAATGTTAAAATTGTATTTTAAGTGATATGTTTACAAATTCAACCTAAGGGATAAAAAATGTAAACTGAAACTTATATTGATTTCTAAACACATGTAATCCATTAAATTTTTTAAGATGACGATGCCAAATTAATACAAAATTACCTTAAATGACCTAAAAAATTTAAATTTAGTATGTATTTTGCAGGTGAAAGACGGCTGTCATACAGAGCACTTCAGGGAGCATTGATGATATATTTTTACAGGTAAAGCAAATCCGAAGAGAGACTGAAGTTAAAATTGAGGGGTGGATATGGATAACATGTCCAGTATAAAGCCTAAAAATTACAATCATAGTTTAATGCAGTAATTTAGTTTTTGTAGAAAACTTGGAAGATAATTAGTAATGAAGTTTTATGCCCCCGTCCCTTTTTTTTTCTTTTAAATAGTAAAGGCATAACTTTTTCCCTGAACAGGGTTAAAAGGGGTTAAACACTACACAAATTAATCAAATATCCTTTTTTTTTTTTTTTTTTTTTGAGACGGAGTCTCGCTCTGTGGCCCAGGCGGGAGTGCAGTGGTGCAATCTCGGCTCACTGCAAGCTCCGCCTCCCGGGTTCACGCCACTCTCCTGCCTCAGCCTCCCGAGTAGCTGGGACTACAGGCGCCCACCACCACGCCAGGCTAATTTTTTTGTATTTTTAGTAGAGACGGGGTTTCACCGTGTTAGCCAGGATGGTCTCGATCTCCTGACCTCGTGATCGGCCCGCCTCGGCCTCCCAAAGTGCTGGGATTACAAGCGTCTAAAAAGCACTATGTAACACTAAGTGTCCTAAATGGCCAGTTTACTCTCTCAGAGACTCACTCATGAAATGTGTTCTATCATTAAACAATGCTCTAAGATTATTCCTGTTTAAGAAAATAAAAAATGCATGAAGTGAAAATAACTTGCAAACTGTACCACTTATTCAGCAATTTCAAGTAAAATTAGCTTCATTGTCTAAAAAGTTTGAAGTATTCCTGAAATATTGACTCACTCCTACTCTATTGTATGAAGGTCCCATCCTCAGGGTTCATGAATTAAATGTGTCAGAACAATAAACATCACACTAGTAAAAAAATACCTATATTTACAGGCCGTCATGCTTCTGTGTATTTAATTTTTAAAATCTTCTCAAGTCTTTCTTCAAAATGGCAACATAAACAAAATCTTTTGACTTTTTTCCTAAACTCAAGTAAATGTATGCCAATTAGGCATATGTGTCCTAACTAGAAAATATGCTGAGAAAGGTGAAGAAATAGATGTAAAAAAACAAAACAAAACAAAACAACAACAAAAAAAACAAAACAAAAAAACAAATAGATGAAAAGAAATAAAAAGTGGTTTTTCCTTTTGTGTTTTAATATCTTTGCCTAGAAGTGTTTGATTATTTTCGGCTGGGAAATCTGTAATAGTGCACCTGTCTCGCTTTTAATAAGAACCAATGTTAGGTGTGACTCTAGGTGATTACTTCATGTATATTACATGGACTTTTCTAGGCTTCAAACAAACACTGCAAGTTGAGTAGTATTATTTCATCTTTGAGATGGAGAAACTGAGACTGAGAGAATAAGCCAAAGCTGCCACAGCTCCTCACAGGCAAAGCTGACATTTGTTTCCAGGGCCAACTGATTGTCAAACTCATGCTCCTCCTAACACACTCGATTTACTTGAATATATTCTTCTTTTTCTTCTTTTTTTCCTTTAGGGAAGAGCCTAGGTTCCAGGTGCCTTTTCAGTTGCTGACTTCTCTTATGGACATAGATTCACTGATGACCAAATGGAGATGTAAGTCCTTCCCACTCACCCCATGTTGCTTCCCCACATGCTGTTCCTGTGCTCTTTATCTTGGTCTTCTGTGTGCCCTCCTGCCCACTTTCTCTCTTTCCCCCTCCTTTGTGTGTGGGTGCATTCTTTTATACAAATCAGCTTGGCCATCACTCTCTCCCAGGGCCAACTTATTCATATACACACTAGGCACAGTACCTAAGGCCCACAATACTTTTGGGGGCTCATGAAAATGTTTTATTTTAAAATCTAAAGGAAAAATTAAACTTTAGGTCATAAAAGTTTTATTACATAAGAGTAATTTATTTGCCATTATGCCAATGCAGTTTTAAATTTTTAATTTTAATAGTTTTTTTATTTTTTTAAATGAAGGACCCCATAAAGGCAAAGGTGGCATGGACTCATGAGTCATATTATGATCCTGGTCTCTTCTATTGTATCCATGGGCTAAATGCAGCGAAGGATGGAGTGAAATGCATGTAGCCTGAAGCAAGTGGAGCGCTAGGCAACCTCACAGTCTCATCTGGCTCTCATGTATGAGCCTTCCATATGGCCAAGTGTTAGTTGTCAACATTTTCTCAGAAGCAATTATCATTACCAACCCCTCATTGTTAGAACATTGTGGAACTAATGGTGGAAAAATATCCATGGAGTAAATTTGTATGTTTGCCTAGATAACCATGTGTGCATGGTGCACAGAATGCTGGGCAGCAAAGCTGGCACCGGTGGTTCCTCAGGCTATCACTACCTGCGATCAACTGTGAGGTAGGTGGGGAAATTCTCCTTTCTTCCTGGTGGCAGTCACCAACAATTTGTTTCTCCACCTATACATTTGCTATCTAAAAAAAGCCATTTTATTTGCTCCTGTCTGAACTACTAACAACACGTTTGTAGTTAGAATATTCCAGTTCAGACTTTTGGTGGTAATTTTATAAAATCTTTAATTATGAACTTTCACTGTTTTGATCCTGTATGAAAAGGGATATGGTATCAATGGCTGCATGATATGTGAGGACACAAAGGGTTTAACAGTGCTTACATCCAGGCAGAAAAGTCTTCAACTCATTGTGACTCAAG
Organism: Homo sapiens; assembly: GCF_000001405.40. NCBI lineage: Eukaryota > Metazoa > Chordata > Mammalia > Primates > Hominidae > Homo > Homo sapiens. The sequence goes on from NW_003315914.1 coordinate 83,175, forward strand.
TTTTGACCAGACTAAAACATTTATCATTAATTCTACTAATGTCTTCCTGGCTAGATAAATGACACAGTTAAAGTAGCGTCTTGTTTTCTGATATGGCTATTTTATATTATAAAACTATTTCCATCTACTCCAGAGAGTGCCCCTTTTAAAGTGTTTACAAGGAAAGAGATCAACATTTATTGAGGACTTAAAATATGCTAGAGAGGTTTCTAAGGGATGTACATTCTTATTTTGATATTCACAATATCATAGATAAATGGACAAATGGATACATCGGGAAACTGAAAAACTTCTGTGGTCCCTTGAAAAAGAAGAATCAATTCAAGAATAAATTAGACATTTGCATTTAGCCCCACCTCAAATCTTTACAGCACATTGCTTTCGTCCCTACTGTTATTACCAGATTGGTTGGTTTCTGAAATACACAGGTTTAAATTTTCATCATTTTTAGACATTTTCACTGTCCCTGGAAATGAATTCTGTAAGCACAAAACAGTTGATAACTGCCTATACCAAATGAGCACACACATCAGTGGGTGGTGGGAATAATGAACACAAATGGCATCTCTAGTGTGTTGTTATCTCAGTTTTAAAAAGACCTGACCAAAAGGAAGGACTAAAGTTTTCATTTTATAGAGTTAGAAACTGGGGCATTGAAGTTTAAACAACTTGTCAAAGGTCCTTGAATTGTAGGTGATAGAACCAGAATTTGAACCCAGATTTATTTAACTTCAAAGGCAAATGTTCTTCCTCCATAAAACTGCAACAGTTAAAATTGTTGACTAACCACACAAAAGCAATTTTAGTGTTAAAACTACTTCATGGACATTTATTATGAGTCTAAGATGGCATTTCAATTTATTAAACCCTTCAGGGCAGTTATTTGGCATCTTTTCAGTTGGAAATATTTCCAAATGAGCATCTAAGACTGTTTGCTTTAAATGTATTACCTTGCATAGCATCCTTCAGAAGTAGGAAATGAGAACACATCTTTATCTTTATGAAGGTGTCAGCAATAAGACTCTCGGTTTTAATAGGAAACACCCTGTTCTAAAACACATAATACTGTTTTATGGGCATAAACTTTGAAAATGGAATAAAAAGCAGACAATCAATACTAATACTACATAATACCTAATTTAATATATGATATATACAACATGCAATATATATTATAATATTGAATACTAACTATGGAAAATATCTGAGAAATAAATTTTCTAATTGAAAAATTTAAATATTTCATGTCAACCAATGTAACACATCTTCATGTATGTTTTTCCAGTGATAGGTACAAGGTATTTGTAGATTTATTTAATCTTTCAACATACCTGATTCCCCGACACTGGATACCGAAGATGAACCCAACCATTCACAAATTTCTATATACAGCAGAATACTGTGATAGCTCCTACTTCAGCAGTGATGAATCAGATTAAAATCGTCTGCAAAATCTATGAAGAATACTGGTTTCACAGCCTATTTTTTATTTTCTATGGATTTTCATAAATACAGTTTGAATATATGTATGCATATATTGTTCAGCACCACGATGCTCTGATTTAATTCTAGAAACAATTTGATTACCTCTTGTTTGTGACAAGACTAAGCATTAAGATGAGAAAGAATACATTTAAATAGTAACATTGTACATAGGGTGTTTTCCTATTAAAAATTCAGTTTCCCCTGAGACTTAATGTAACCACTTAATGTAATCACTATCTCATTGTTTCATCTTTATAAACTTGTAAACTTCATCTATTTCAAATATTTTATGCAGTACATTATATTATTCTGTACAAAGGCTTTCAAACAAAATTTTTAAAATAATAAAGTATTAATCTTTCTCCCTGTATTGTTTTTGAAATATTGATTGTATTTGTTAGGAATCTTAATGACCAAAGACAGAAATCTATCTGAAGTTTGTCTAGAGGGGATATACTGAAGAATTACTAGCTTGCAGAATTCAAATGAACACTGTCCAAAAAGCCTTGAAAGAGGAGCCTGAAAACTCTGATGCCACAAGGACTGGGTCCAGTTCCTGGAGTGCTATATTCCTGGAACACTCTTCTGAGATCTTTTTTGTCTCATCTCTTCTCTGTAGGTGTTGGCTTTATTCTTTCCTGCAGTAGAACAGCTTCTGTCTCAGGCTGGGTCCCAGTTTCCAGCACCATCAGACTCACACAGGGCAAAGCTTCTCTTTCCCCCAGCTCCCATGCCTGTGGTCTGGGAGGTGGAGTGAACTCTAATGCATGCAGAACTGAGGTAAAAGCAAGGAACAGTCCCCTCAAAGAAGATGTGCTTTCCAGAAGAAAGTACACAGACTGGACAGTGACCCAGTTCATTTCTAATAAGACATTAACTAAGCTAAGAGTTTAGATCAGACATGAGTTTTAGTCTTCTTTTTCTAGCTTGGCCAGGTTATTGGGAAAACTTAAATTTTTGTTATGGGAGGAAGTACATAATATTATTTAAGAAATCTAAAATGTATGTCAACCTTGACCTAGAGTGATTATCACTAGCAAGCAGTAAGTTCTTGATGGAATTGAACTATTCTTTGGTTTCATTTGCAAGTTTTTTCTTATAAGGTCTTATAAGGATTATATCATCTAGTTTGTCTCAGAATTACATATAATTGTTTTTGTCTCCATGACTGTTGTGTGCTCATGTATGTGTGTATACACAGTATCTGATGGTGGCTAGGCTGATATAATACAGAGGCAAATGGCATGGTGGCTAAAAGGCACTAGCTTTGAAATCAACAAGCTCGAGGGCAAATTCTGGCTCTGCCATTTATTAACTATCTGGTACTATCACCAGTTGAAGCCTAGTTTCCTATCCATCTGGGGATAAAAGTACTTATTTTATAAGCTTTGCTATTTCCCAGGAGAAACATGTGTTAATAGATATTCTGTCACCAAAGTGCCTTAGAATATTGGTGTAAATGTTATTTGTCAACGTTTATCATTATTTTAATAGACTGTATTAGTCAGGATTCTCCAAAGGGACAAAACTAACAGGATCGATGTATATATGAAGGGGAGTTTATTAAAGAGTATTGACTTACAAAATTACAAGGTGAAGTCCCACAATAGGTCTGCAAGCCAGGAAGCCAGTCCAAGTCCCAACACCTCAAAAGGAGGGAAGCCAATATTGTAGCCTTCAGTCTGTGGCCGAAGGCCCCAGAGCCCATGGCAAATCACTGATATAAGTCCAAGAGTCCAAAAGTTGAAGAACTTGGAGTCTGTTATTCCAGGGCAGGAAGCCTCCAGCATGGGAGAAAGATGGAGGCCAGAAGACTCAGCAGGTCTGTTCTCTCCATGCCTCCTTTCACACTGGCAGCTGATTAGACAGGGCCCACCCAGGCTGAGGGTGGGTCTGCCTCTCCCAGTCCACTGACTCAAATGTTAATCTCCTTTGGAAACACCCTCACAAACACATCCAGGAACAATACTTTGCATCCTTCAATCCAATCAAGTTGGCACTCAATATTAACCATCACAACTTTGTCAACTTGAACCCATCCACATCTCCTGAAATCACACATAATCTTCAACTGAAGCCAATAATAAGGTCATAATTACATCTAACACAATACAGCTATCCTTTGTACAACTGGAAGTGCACCAATCCCCAATCCAAATGCTATTACCTAAAGTTAACAACACTTAAATGCTGATATGAAGTCAACAAATCTTACATCACATGATAAAGGAAAAATAAAGGAAATAAAATGAATATATTTTCTTAGTACAAGTATATATATGTGCAAACATGTTCTCAACAAAATAAAGAGGAAATACTCATGACAATTACAGTCCTCATTTCTGCAACTGGTCACATGGCTGAAGCTGCTATTGATGACTACCTTATTCCACTACCCCCATTCCTTATTCTCTTTGCCTTCAGCAAGCACCTCAGCAGGTTGTGGCTTTGTACCTGCTGGAGTGACCCAAACCTTCATTCCTGAAGTATCTGGGCCATTTGTAGTCCTGCCAGGATTGTGCCGTTGTAGTTTCCCATTGACATTAATCACAGGGCATGGCAATACTAAGAGACACCCTAAGGGTTCTCCTGTGTTCCATGCCTACTCTTCCTTACCTCCATTGTGGAGTAGTAGACTGATTTCGTCTTCATAGTCCAGGTCAATCACCCTGGCCAATACTGTAACTCCCTTCTTAGCCTGTTGCATTAGTCTGCTGTTATGCTGCTAATAAAGACATACCTGAGACTGGGTAAGTCATAAAGGAAAGAGGTTTAATGGACTCACAGTTCCACATGGTTGTGGAGGCTTCACAATCATGGTGGAAAGCAAAGGAGAAGCAAAGTCATGTCTTACATGGTGGCAGGCAAGAGTGCTTGTGCAGGGGAACTCCCATTTATAAAACCATCAGATCTTGTGAGACTTATTCACTACCATGAGAACAGTATGGGAGAAACCACCCTCATGATTCAATTATCTCCACCTGGCCCTGCCCTTGACATGTGGGGATTATTACAATTCAAGGTGAGATTTGGGTTAAGAGACAGCTAAACCATATCATAGCTAAACCATATCATAGACTATATGGTTATATTTAGTTCTTTACACCTATATTTCTTGGTGTGACTAAGCTAGAAGTTGCAAGAGTTTTATCAAAGGATATATCAGTCATTCTTCATGTAAATATCAAAATAATTTAGACTGCAAGTCCCCACCCTCCCCAGTCACACTTGCTTCTAGTGCTGATGACCCACTTTATAACTTTTAAATGGGCTAGAAAATCACTGTAAGGTGGGCTAATTTAGTATTCACTTTGAGATCTTTGTGAAACCACATCCAGAAACACGTTGATGACTTTCATTATGACTTCTAATTATTAGGTGAGGATTTTGTTGCTTTGACTTCAAGTAGTTTGTTATGGCTGGATCACAGCATAAGAGTGATCAAACTATGCAGCACAGCAGCAATCACGGTTGAAAAGGTAGAGAGGGGCTTCTTCGTGAAAACTCACTTAAAAGAGCTCACATGGTATCATAAGGCATTGGGAGCCCTTGAACGGTTGTGAACAGAGAAACTGATAACGTCTTTGAGAAATGTAAATGCAGGGGAAATACAGTAGATGGACTATAAGAACATCAATCTGAATCACCAGACTTTGGGTCTGGACTAAGGGACATAGAGAATAATGAGTAGGCTACTGAATAATGGAGATAAATGACACTAAAGAACATGCAACTAAGAAATGACAGTAGCCACAGGAGGTAGGTAATTCATTGATGGGTTACCAAGGTGCAGATGACCTGCTTAAATGTTTAGGATTTGTCTTAATTTTATTGATTGGGTGATTCCATAATGTTGATTCTGTTAACCAAAATAGAGGCTCTTAGAGGTAAAGGAAATTTTTGTTGGGGGTGGTGGGAGAAGTTAGGGAGGATGACGAATGGAGTTTCGGAAACACTGAGGTTAAAGTGCCTATGGAGAAAACCAAAAGCTGGATATATTAATTTAGAGCTGAGAAAACTGTAAATATAAAGCACATTAATACCGTGTTGACAAAATGTAAGCCATACACTTAAGAAGAGGTTCTTTTTAAACCAAAGTCAAATGTAGGTTGTTTTATTGTAAATGTCATCAAAATCCAGAACAGCAGAAACATATTAATCAGTTTGAAATTTTAGAAATCCTTTAGCACTTGAAAAAGAGTATTACAAATGCATCTATATCACATAGAAAGTCAGCGAATACAAACTAGACAAGCAGGACATAGTTCTTTTCTGGCATTCCAGGATAATAAGAATATTTATCAATTAAAAGGTCAATATCTGTCTTCCTGAAATAACTCCAAACCTGAGTCAACACACATTCTTTTCGGATTGGTTCTGACTGGCGTAAGAAGAGAAATACAGCATTTTGTTTTTTATTTTGTTTATCTAATCACAGGGAAGGATAAACAAAGGGCAAAAGTGAGAGAAAAAGTTAGATGTCCTTGAATTTTTTTTTTTAGTGGTTGCTACTGCATTTCATGTTTCATTTTTGTTAGATCATATACATTAGAAAAGAATGATACATTTTAGAGAAGAAATATGTACATACATAGTATCAGAAATAATTTTCTTGTATTGATTCATTTAATATGGTTGTGCTTATATTCAATCAGAAGGTCAACTCCTTTGCTCTAAGGTTCTTACACTGCTAACAAGAAATGGCTTTTTTCCTGTTGCAGGTCATGAGCAGCACACAGTGTCCTTTCTAGGCACATAGGATCATCGATCACTGTGTGGACGCAGGCTAATCAGAATTGCACCTGAAATCACTTGTGCAATTAGTGATGCAAGAGTGATCACAGGAATCAAGACTGGGAGCCAAGAGAAAGAACAAGAGGTGCACAAAGAAGCAGTTCGGATGGGAGACCAGGAAAGCTGAGGGGAAAACTGGGAAACAGATTCTGGAAAACTCACAGTTTGTTTGATACCCAGGGTTAAGAGATGGGACTTTGATAGGAGTGGTGCTTATGAATTAAGGGAGGAAGAAAGAGGTGAGATCCTAATGTTGGTAAAGGTACAGAGACAAAGGGAGCCAACCAAGTGGTAAGAAAATAGAAATGGAAAGTAAAAATGAGACTTAATTCTTTAGTCAGGGAAGCCAAGCCACCAGGAAAACTTGGTAAAGAGTAAGAGAAAGAGGGAGAAAATATGAGATAATATTTTGGTATTTTGATATACTAGAGAACAAAATATTATTCTATAGTATAAAAAGAACAAAGTAAGCAATATGATCTATTGGATTCCTATTCACAATGAAAATTATCAAACAATAATTTGTCTCTCAGGCAATGCTACTAGAAGTTACTTATATAGTTGCCTTATTGTTCATTTAATTTCAGTTTAACTGAAGCGATTTTGCCCTTTTCCTTCCTTCTACGTGGTCACTCTGCTGTTCAAAGGGTAAGCACCATTTGTTCAGGTAAAGCAATTGGTGTTTGAAATCCTTCCGATAGATACGCCATCTCAGAGGGCTGCTAATATAACTAACTGTACAAGACACACATAATTTTAGGTTGGCCATTCTTGTGTATAGGGGTAATCTAAAGCTAGTAGTTACACCCCACAAAAGAAAATAAATTCTTATGACCTCTTTGATCCCACCTGAAATATCTCACAATAAACAAACAAATAAATAATAAGCAAACAAAAACAAACAGTAGCCTTCCCCAGTTGCAGGGGCCTAAAATATCTCCTAATCTGAATTTCGTCTCAGGACAGGAAACTATTCCATAGGCTTCCTCGCAGGCTTCTGTGCTGGAGTTTGTCCCACTGACTTTGGTTGTCCATCTCTCTACAAGAAGGGAACATTCTGAAACTTAGTTTAAATACTACTAGGCCTTAGAATCTTTTGTAGGTAGTTGCTGAAACTTGAAGTTGAATAATACTTTGAAGTACTATGTTACATTGCATTATGAAAACCTTCATTTTTGTAGCTGTCTCTTGATCTGCCCAACATGTCACACAAATATAGAAGAAACGGAATCTGCAATACCTAAGGGAAAAAAAAGGAATTATTAGTCTATTTCCTCTTTAGATGCTTTTGAAATTGTAAATTAAAGCAATTTTTCATTTGGGTTCAGAAAGAGTATCTACTGAGAAAATAATGTAATGCTTATCACAGCTTGTCAATGTAAACATGGTATCATCAAAAGCAGATATTAGAAGAGATTAGGCATATTAGAAGTATGCCTAATATTTTTGTTTGAAGAAACTAAAATAATTTTAAAGATTTTAAAAATCCACAACAAAAACTACCTGTTAACTGAATAAATGAATGCATCTGGAAGCTGTATTAAACTAATACATTATTTCTTAGAGGCAAAATAACTTAAGAAATTATTTTAAATACAATTTCATAACTCAAATTCTAAAATTTGAATGTGGGTAAAACTTTAATAAATCACGAGTGTGCTATGCTTTCTTTACACACGAGAACACAGATTGCAACATCATGGCAAAAGCAATAAATAGCCTATCTGAAGACTGGTTTTTATTATAACTAACCGTATCTTCGAAATCTCTTGCAGCTATGAAATACTATCTGCCTTATGCCATTGCTCATAAGAGTAATATGACATCATTGTAACTTTCAGGGAATACTCACTTTCAGGAAGAATTTGAATCCCTGTATGATTACCAACCAGGCATGCCCTTAAAGATTTACATTATGAAAGCAGGTAGAGAGCAGAAATTATCTCCACTCACCCTTAGTAGCTGAGGGATGGAGAAAGGTTGTGGTGAGGGACGTAGTTATAATTGAGGCAATTATGAACCAATATTTGAATTATGTTATTTTAACACTCCTGTAAGAGATTTGAAAGCAGTCACCCCTCAGCCCAAATCCAGGATCCACCACTGCTGCAGTCGGACATAATATATGTTCAGCAGCAAGGGTTAATGATTAGCATCAGTCATTTATCTGCAAGTTCCAAAGATGTACGAGTCCCCAGTGATGCTGAAAAGTGGAGGCCTGATGGGGTTGCTAGTATTCTGGCCAATATATTTCTGTGATGTTGACTTTTTTCAATGAATAACTTATAAAAACTGTCTCATCAGGGTGATAGAACAGATCACTCATGAACTCTCATGGATTCTGCCTTATGGAATGATTGGTTAATAGTCATTGAACATAAACTTTCAAATTTTTCTGTAACTATTTAATCAGTCTCATAATCTGAAAGATTCTGCATTTAAAAAAATTGTATATATGTTGGAACAAATTATAATAAGAAATGACATGATTGCTCTAATATGTAACTTAGTTTGGGTCTAGCTTGATTCAGAAAATATGTTGATTTCTAGACCAAAAGTTTTAGAATATAGGTTTGAATATAGTTTTATAACACGGTTAAAATTCTTAACTAGCTATTTTAGTTTGGTTGGTGGTTCATTTAAAAAGTTGTGTTTCAGGCTGGGCGTGGTGGCTCACGCCTGTAATCCCAGCACTTTGGGAGGCCAAGGAGGGCAGATCACGAGGTCAGGAGATTGAGACCATCCTGGCTAACACGGTGAAACCTCGTCTCTACTAAAAATACAAAAACAAAAAATCAGCCAGGTGTGGTGGCGGGAGTCTGTAGTCCCAGCTACTCAGGAGGCTGAGGCAGGAGAAGAGTGTGAACCCGGGAGGCGGAGCTTGCAGTGAGCCGAGATCATGCCACTGCACTCCAGCCTGGGAGACAGAGCGAGACTCTATCTCAAAAAAAAAAAAGTTGTCACTCAATAAAAAAGCATGTTTGGTATTTGCCTAAGCCTCTCAATTCTAGTGGGTGTTTTGCTAGAATTTTGTAGGTGGCAAGGGGCATATTAAATCACAAACAATACTAATGCTTAGTTTTCGTATATTTTAAAACAAAGAAAAACTCTTGATAATCATTGAGCAGATATTATAATACAGAAATTAAGAAAAATTTATAGTTATGAAATGTAAATTTGGAACAAGAAGACATTTCTGCAGGAGTCCAGTCTCCTAAGCTGTGTGTTTATCTCATTTTTAAAGCAATTAACCTTGGTAAATTATTACTTTATCTTATGTTTTGAGATATATATGTAATATATATTTTTTACTAAGGTCCCTCTTCCTTTTTCAAATACTAATATGTTTAACAGTTCCTCTTGCAAAACACTTTTTTTTTTATCATTTGGTTAAAGGACAAAAATTATTACTGCTAAAGTGGTTTGAGTAGATTGTAACTCTAAAATATTCAAATAATCTCCTTAATATTTATATTGAGGTTTTAAACACAAACTCATGACTTACCACAAACATTACTTCCCATTTTGACATGGGCATAACCATCTACTCCCCAAGAACTTCCCCAGGAATTCCGCACAATCCAATATGGAGTGCTTCCTACAGTGAAACATAAATAGTAACAAATCCTGAAAACTCAAATTTGTTATGAATGTTTAAGTTTCTTTATTTTAAGTTGGATTCTTGCTAAGGATAGTAGCTCTGAGAAGAAGATTAAAAATGTAATTTAATGGTAACTTAAACTACTTTATTTTAACTAAGTAAACCTGAGCAGTACTTACGGACACTCTCCAATCAGTAGAAATATATGTTTGAATTCACTTCCCTTTATACAGGGACTGCATAAAATGAAAACAAACACTAATTTCCAAGGAATCAGAAAAAGAAAAAAGAACTTTTAGATACGTATGATAAAATAATATGCACTTACCTTTTCCCAACAATTATTCTAAATGTTCCCGATACAGTTTTATATCAACAAAAATTATCATCATTTTAACAGGATATCCACTCAAAAATTGACAGGTGGAATCTGACAAGACATTTACATTGGGAACAGGCCCCCCAAATCCGGCCATAAACTGGTCCCAAAACTGGCCATAAGCAAAATCTCTGCAGCACTGTGACATGTTCGTGATGGCCATGACGCCCACGCTGGAAGGTTGTGGGTTTACCGGAATTAGGGCAAGGAACACCTGGCCGAACCCTGGGCAGAAAACTGCTTAAAGGCGTTCTTAAGCCACAAACAATAACATCAGCAATCTTGTGCCTTAAGGACATGCTCCTGCTGCAGACAACTAGTCAGACCTATCCCTTTATTTCGGCCCATCCCTTTATTTCCCATAAGGAATACTTTTAGTCAATCTATAATCTATAGAAACAATGCTTATCCCTGGCTTGCTGTCAATAAATATGTGGGTAAAGCTCTGTTCGGGGCTCTCAGCTCTGAAGGCTGTGAGACCCCTGATTTCCCACTCCACACTCTATATTTCTGTGTGTGTGTCTTTAATTCCTCTAGCGCCGCTGGGTTAGGGTCTCCACAACTGAGCTGGTCTCGGCACATTTACTCCTATAAGATTGTTGAGAAGTTGTGAAGGTCTTATGAGGACTTAATCATAGCAGAACCAAATTTCAATGTTCTACAGTATGGTGATCATTTTGCACTCAGTGTCCATGCTGGAAAGCAGTCAACTGAGTCTTATCAGCACTTACCTGTTTTATCAAACCCAGTTATGAGAACTGCATGATTTGCTTCTCCACTAGAGCAGTGATGCTGTATAATGCCTCCCAGATAATCTTGCCAGCTCACTGCATCTACTATGACTACCAAAGGGCCAAAGGTAAGAAGTGCTTTTGCCATTTCATCTTCTTGGTCACTACCAAAAGAGGAAATATTTGGTTAGAAAATTTAGTTTTTAAGGTAAAAATAACAATGATCTATATAATCTGTGTATGATTCTGAGTAGGTTTGGTTGCAGTTACAAAGGACCTAAACAATGGAAGCTAAGTCTGAGAGACTGGTAGTCTATGGCTGGGATAGGGTTTCAGGATATCAGGAACCCAAGCTCTTTCTCTATCATTGTCCTGCTATTCAAAGGTTTCCATTTTCAGGGTCCATTCATGGTCCAAGATGGTTGCTGGGACTCCAGCCATTTAACACATATTTAAGACAGCAGGAAGTAGAAAGCAGAAGTGATACATCTCTGTTGAGAAGACTTCCCAGAAATAACCCGCAACACTTCCACATATATCTTCACGGATCTCATTGGCCAGAACTCAGTCATATGGCTAAGTCTAGCTTAAAGGAAGATGGGGAATGAGTTCTGTAGCTGGCTGGAAAATTAGTTAAGACATAGGGCTTCTTTTATTAAGGAAAGTGGAAAGACTAGATATTTGGCGATACCTTGCCATCTCTGCCACACCATGAGAATCAAGAGACTAACTCATGTTAGTCATTGTCAAATATAGAAATTATAGGGAAGGGCTACTCAAAAGTGGCTAATATAATTATACAATAGAAGCAATGTTAAGCAAATATTTTAAAAAGAGAAGAAATGTTAGGATGCCCGGAGAACTAGGTGTTCAACTGTGAAGACTGCAAAATACACAATTATTGTTTTCACACATGGACATAAAGTCTCATATTATACAACATTTGTCCTTCATTGATCTTACAAGTGAGTGATCAAATCATTATTTACACTTTTCAAAGGTCAGCTTTGTGGGTGAAGGATACTGAAACCAAGTTCCTAATAGTTCAAACTATTAAGATAACATTTGATAGTTTACTGCTATAGCAAGCCATGGGTGGATTAGTGGTAATAATCCACTAATAAGTAAGTAAATAATCTTTCATGACGACCAGCTGGAGACCAGTTTCTAGAGAGGGAATATTTTGTCCACAGAGGAGCAAAAAGTTGACTGCATAATAATGGAATTGATTGAAATAGAAACTATATATTCATTTTATACATTTATTCATGTTAACTATTAACATGAATATCTGCTTTTTGAGATCTATAAGTAGATATTTCTAATTTTTGCTACTGTAAAACAGTTCATATTAACTAAGATTATCCTGAGACAGGCAAAATTGTAAAATTTTTAAAAGGCATCATGATAGGTTATAGGTTTTTAATTGTCCCACACCTGGGTTCAAATTCCAACTATACACTGCAGCCATTCAACCTACCATGCAGAATCAATACAAGGATAAAATTATGGCATACAATTTTGCAAGACATAAATTATGTAGCATGCCCAGCACATAAGTTTTACTCCAAGTTTACAATAAGGATTATTTATTTCCCTCATTTCTAACTTATCTAATAACTAATTGTGTTCCCCATAGGATTTAGTGTATAAAGTATATCTTATTGTATCAAAATTCTTAGCATAGTTCATGATTTAAACATGATATATATAATAATCTTTCTATCAACCAGAACACAGCCGTCTCCATCAATTGAAGAAAACAAAGGATTACTGGAAGTTCATCTCATCAAAGATCCAGTTTCAGGGATACCAGGAGAAAAGCAGAAAGATCAAGAAGAAGGAATATTTTTAGAATGCAAAGGGTAACTGACATTGCAGAATCAAAGAAACAATTTAGTAATAATCCCTGATTTGGGCCAGAGCTGAAAAAAGATATCAAAGATTAGAAGTAAGAAATAGAAGGACAAGCCTCAGTCATAAGCAGAGGCAAATGTTCCATTTGGCCCCAGAATTGAGTGGCATTGCTATCATTTGTCTTTCAGAAAGATGTCAGCTTTTAGAGAGTTCAAATAATGCTCCAGACAGCATTTTAATTTCCATTATTAACCCAATATAGAACTACTATCAACATGTACATTGTTATAATGGCTTTATTATCAAACATTGATTCCATGAGCTTACTATTCATTTCACAGATTAATAATTTCCAAAACCTACAGTTTTGGAAATAATAATTCGTTATTATTATAACGAATTATTATTATAATTATTATTAATCATTGATTAATGAATTATAATTATTATTCATTATTATTATAATGAATGGAATAATAATAATAGTTCAAATAATTTTCCTAAATTTTATTGTCATCAAGATGCGGCGATGAAGGCAAGTCTGACCTGTTACTGATGCTTCATAATGTGGATTTTCATCTCATCTTCCCTAGAATTCAGTGTGTTATACTGTGTCTGAATTTTTCTGACTACTGTTATATGTAGTAGGTTCCTACAGTTTTTGTTTATTTACATAGTCATTCTCATATTGTAGTTTGAGTCCTGAAATTTCTGGGGTCTGATAAACAAAAATTCATGAAGAACCCTGGGTGGGAATGGTCATTTTGCTTTAAAATTAGGTTATGTTTTTATATTTTAGATGATTTTTTTCCCTTCTTAGATGCTTTCAGGTTCTGTACAATGTTTTAAGGAGCGTTTGGCTGAAAACCTAAGACCACATGACGTTACCAATAGTGTTGGGAGTAAAAGCACAAGCTTTGGAGTTGAACAGATATGAGTTCTAATCCGACTCCACAGTTTACTAGCTATATGGCTCTCCCTGAGTCTCAGGCATCCACCATACATGGAAATAATATTATTGAAGTACAAAGGACCAGGTCTTGTGCCCAGTTATAGCAAATGCTTTGGAAGACCTTCACACATCCTAAGGCTGTCACCACTGCAATGCACACTCACCCAACTTGCAACAATGAGATCCTGCAGTTCTTTCCCTGAGCCCTTTTCCTCCTAGAGCCAGGAAAGCAAGCCCAGTCCCCATTTCCATCCCCAGATGCACCCTCAACTAATGAATCAGGGAAGACGACAATCACCAACTTGGATGGGATGGCACTGAAGTGTACATTTTACCCTGGCTGCCAGAGTTCCCCAGCAGGACTAAGCATGAGGTTAGCCACAGCACTAACTGGTTTAATCAAGAAACCCTGCTGCCCCGGTTCTCTCATTTCCCCACCCCATTACCAGTCTTTCCTGGGATCACTTCCTAGGTGTTCCAACTGAACTCTTACTGTTTCCTTCTAAATCTGTTCCTGTCTTAGACTTTCAAGTTTCATTAATGGTAATTCTATTTTTCAGTCATTGAGATCAAAAGGCCGGGAATCCTCCTAGACTCTCTTCTCTCTTATCTCCTCTCCAATAAAAAACTGTGTAGGGCTTTACCCTCTGTGAGGGGTATTAATCTATACATACCCCTCATCTCTCATCTCCAAGGCCATTCTCCTAACACCCTGCTCTAAGGCCACTGCTTGGTGACTGAGATGGTTTGGCTGTGTCCCCATCCAAGTCTCAAATTGAATTGTATCTCCCAGAATTCCCATGTGTTGTGGGAGGAACCCAGGGGGAGGTAATTGAATCATGGGGGCCAGTCTTTCCAGTGCTATTCTTGTGATAGTGAATAAGTCTCATGAGATCTGATGATTTTATCAGGGGTTTCCACTTCTCCTTCTTCCTCAATTTCTCTTGCCGCCACCATGTAAGAAGTGCCTTTCTCCTCCCGCCATGATTCTGAGGCCTCCCTAGCCATGTGGAACTGTAAGTCCAATTAAACCTTTCTCTTCCCAGTCTCGGGTATGTCTTTATCAGCAGCATGAAAATGGACTCATAGTAAATTGGTACTAGTAGATTGGGGCACTGCTGAAAAGATACCTGAAAATGTGGAAGTGACTTTGGAACTGGGTAATAGGCAGACAGTTGGAACAGTTTCAAGGGCTCAGAAGAAGAAAGGAAAATGTGGGAAAGTTTGGAACTTCCTAGAGACTTGTCGAATGGCTTTCACCAAAATGCCAATAGTGATATGAACAATAATTAGGTCCAGGCTGAGGTGGTTTCAGATGGAGATGAGAAACTTGTGGGAAATGGAGCAAAGGTGACTCTTGTTATGTTTTAGCAACCAGACTGGCAGCATTTTGCCACTGCCCTAGAGATTTGTGGAACTTTGAACTTGAGAGAGATGATTTAGGGTATCTGGCGGAAGAAATTTCTAAGCAGCAAAGCATTCAAAAGGTGACTTGGGTGCTGTTAAAAGCATTCCATTTTAAAAGGGAAAACAGAGCATAAAAGTTCAGAAAATTTGCAGCCTGATGATGCAGTAGAAAAGAAAAACCCATTTTTTGAGGAGACATTGAAGCCAGCTGCAGAAATTTGCGTAAGTAGCAAGGAGCCTAATGTTAATCCCCAACACCATGGGGAAAATGTCTTCAGGTTATGTCAGACACCTTCACGGCAGCCCCTCCCATCACAGGCTCGGAGGCCCAGAAGGAAAAAGTGGTTTTGTGGGATAGGCCCAGGGTCCTTGTGCTGTGTGCAGCCTAGGGACTTAGTGCCCTGTGTCTCAGATGCTCCAGCCATGGCTCAAAGGGGCCAACATAGAGCTCAGGCTGTGGCCTTGGCAGCTTCCATTTGGGGTTGAGCCTGCGGGTACATAGAAGACAAGAATTGAGATTGGGGAACCTCCACCTAGATTTCAGAAGATGTATGGAGATGCCTGGATGCCCAGGCAAAAGTTTGCTGCAGGAGCAGGGCCCTCATGGAAAACCTCTGCTAGCGCAGTGCAGAAGAAAAATGTGGGGTTGGAGGCTCCACACAGAGTCCCACAGGAGCTGCGAGAAGAGGGCCACTGTCCTCCAGACCCCAGAATGGTAGATCCACTGACAGCTTGCACTATGCACCTGGAAAAGCCACAGACACTCAATGCCAGACCGTGAAAGCAGCCAGGAGGGAGGCTGTACCCTGCAAAGCACAGAGGCAGAGGTGCTCAAGACCATTAGAACCCACATCTTGCATCAGCATGACTTGGATGTGAGATCTGGAGTCAAAGGAGATCACTCTGGAACTTTAAAATTTGACTGCCTGCTGGATTTTGGAGTTCCATGGGCCCTCTAACTCCTTTGTTTTGGCCAATTTCTCCCATTTGGAATGGCCGTATTTACCCAATACCTGTATCCCTACTGCATCTAGGAAGTAATTAGCTTGCTTTTGATTTTACAGGCTCATAGGCGGAAGGGAGTTGCCTTCTCTCAGATGAGACTTTGGACTGTGGACTTTCGGGTTAATGCTGAAATGAGTTAAGACTTTGGGGGACTGTTGGCAAGGCATGATTGGTTTTGAAATGTGAAGACATGAGATTTGGAGGGGCCAGGGATGGAATGATATGGTTTGGGTGTGTCCCCACCGAAGTCTCAACTTGAATTGTATCTCCCAGAATTCCCACATGTTGTGGAGGGACCCAGGGGGAGGTAATTGAATTCATGGGGGCTGGTCTTTCCCATGCTATTCTTGTGATAGTGAATAAGTCTCACAAGATCTGATGGGTTTATCGGGGGTTACGCTTTTGCTTCTTCCTCATTTTCTCTTGCTGCCGCCACGTAAGTAGTGCCTTTTACCTCCTGCCGTGATTCTGAAGCCTCCTCAGCCATGTGGAACTGTAAGTCCAATTAAACCTCTTTTTCTTTCCAGTCTTGGGTATGTCTTTATCAGCAGCACGAAAGCAGACTAATACAGGGACAGTATGACCTCATCTCCTACTAGTCTTGTCTTTCTTCTCCACACTACAGCCACAGTGGCTTCATCATTGTTCTAACATGCCAGACATGTTTTTGCCTCACGATCTTTGCATTTACAGCCTCTCTGCTTGGAACCATGTTCCCCCACATATCTGCGTGGTTAAGTCCACGCACTTCTCCAAGTCTTCACTTGAACATAACCTTTTCAGTGAGTGAGGCCCTGCCAGGCAACCCTTTCTCAAATTGTACACTCCCCCTACTACCAGATCGTTTCTCTTCCTCCCACTGTTTTCATTTGTTCTCTTTGTTAATTATTACAGCCAATATGCCACATGTATTTTTATTTTTTGTGACTGTCTGTCTCAATTACTAATGAGGGCAAGGTTTTTGTCTGTTTTGTTCTCTGCCAAATCCCCAGAACTTAAAAAAAAGTCAGTAAATATTTGAATGAATAAATAAATCAAAGAAAGATCTTCTTGCAGTCAAATGCTATCAGTTTAGCATTGCACTGTTAGAGTTTAATCTTCAATATAAACAAGATATTTTGATTGGGACCTCTTCCTTCCTAATCAAAGGCCCAATGCCAACAACTCCTGCATTCTCTCTTTCCCTTAATTCAGACTAATGCCTATTATTCTTTTGCTTCTTCTTAATTTTTTTTTCAATTTCCTACCATGATAAGGGATTCCCTTAATCCCTTTTAATGATATTTTGTAAATCTAGTTTTTTCTTGTACACATCCTTCCCTTATACTCTCAAGGAAGTCAGAGTTTATAGGGCATACTTTCTGATTTTAGAAAGCACATTACCTTTATCCCCAAATGAGATGTTGACCACGGTACTCAGTGACCCTGCACATTTTATTATAAATCCTACATGGTCTGCCAGCTGTGGAATTAAGGCTGTCTGGTGTATGGTTCCTGGTGTCACCCTGAGGACCCTTGTTGCAGACCGGAGCTGTGTTGACAACCTGACAGTTCTCTGGCACACTTATGCTCATTTAAACGGGTACATTTTGTTCAAGGACGCAATTTCACCCTTGATTTCTTTCAGATCCCATGGGTAGATACCATCTGGATCAAGGGATTATTTTATATTCAGGACCACTAAGTCATAGGGGATTCTGTTACCTTATCCAAATTTAATTTAGTTCCTGTTTTCTCTGTTTCAAAAGACTGCAAAGTTCCCATCATATATTTTCTTAATGAAGCCAGGAGTTGGTTGGGTCTCCCTTTGTCCTTTTCACCCATGAACACCTATTTTGCACTCTATCAAATGGTCATGATGAGTCTCCAGCCAGCTCTGTGTTTTTCATGTGTTTTTAAAGCATTTTTAATGATTGTTTTCCCCAAAACTATCCAAAGTTATCCTGCCCTTCAGTTCCAACACAAGTCCTTTTCCTCAGCCTGTCTTTATCTATCCCTACATTCCCATCATGCTTATAGTGTATGCTACATAATTTATCTTCAGTAGTATATGCTTCCCTCTTTTCTCTAATCTGAAGTTTTGTGTTATATTTTTCAAATGGCTGATGTCTTGAAAAATGCAAAGAACATAGAAGGTGTTCAAAATATGCTTCCTGATATGTAGCCTACGTGATATTAGCTGCACAGTCTGTACAAAGCAATTCTGGATGGACTCACCATTAAGATTGAAATATGCTAATGGTAATATAACACCTAAATTTGATAAGATGAAGGTGGTATATATAAATATAAATTATGCACTAATAATTTGTAAGTATAATAAAATATAAAATATAACAAATAAATATACATATAAATTGTACCTTACACAGAATTAAAATTTTTCATTTCTATCGTAATGACACTTGGGAAAATAAGTAGATTATAATTAAGAAACAACATTTACAACATTTCATTGTAATTGCTACTCTTTCTAGTAAAAAGTATGTTTTACAAGGATTAAGAGTATGCAGTGATGCCTTCAAACAAATTATTAACCAGTCAATAGATCATAAATTAAAAATGTATAAAGAAAAACATAATACAATAAGATCTTTACCTGAAGTCATATGCAGAATAACCTTTGATTGAAAATCCAGAATGTGAACCAGAAAAGTAATGGCACAGACCATTTTGTGCTTTAAAAGGATATTCTGAATCTTTCACCAGTTTTACTTGCATCTAAAAGAAAACAATCACTGAACATGTTTACTGTCAATTGTTTTATAAATCAAATAGAACTTACTTCACTGTGTCAAAACAGGTTCAATTTCACACACCTTCATCATGTGGATATACTTTGCGTTCTTTTTTTTTTCTTTTTCTTTTTTGAGACAGAGTTTTGTTTGGTTGCTCAGGCTGGAGTGCAGTGGCTCGATCTCGTCTCACTGCAATCTCCACCTCCTGGGCACCAGTGATCATCCCACCTCCGTCTCCCCAGTAGCTGTGACTACAGGTATGAGCCACCACGCCAGGCTAATTTTTTGTATTTTTTGTAAAGATGGGGTCTCACTCTGTTGCCCAGGCTGGTCTTAAACTCCTGGACTCAAGAAATCCACCTGCCTTGGCTTCCCAAAATACTGGGATTACAGGTGTGAGGCATTGTGCCCAGCCTATACTTTGGGTTTTTAATATTATAAATTAAATCTTTAGGTGCTTGTTCTGGATAGTCTAGACATTTGGAGTCAATATCTTTCCTTCTCCCTTACTTCTCTTTATCTTACAGCATCCTTTTGTAGATCCTCCATGGATCTAGTAACAGTCTTGTCATCTTTCTCCTGACGGTGCTATAGGGCAGCTCACTTTCCTCCCAGTGCTTCTGGTTCTGCCAAGTCTTTCAGATTCCATCCAGTGGTTTATACACAGGCAACGGTTAGGTCAAGCATTCTTTCTATCACTTCACTTTTATGCCATTCATATAGCATATGTCAAATACTTCATAGTTATCTGTACAAAACCCTCCCTTTTTGAATGCTAGGCTAATGAAAGGGAGGAGACTCATAATTCATTGTCGTCTACAGTGTGTACAGAGCAGGTCCTGGAATACGTGATTAAAAATGCAACCAATGGATAATGGAAGAGAATTCAGGTTTGGGGAACTCTGGTTTGATGACGTTCTACAGAAACTAATAGCACCCTCATTGGCAAATTTCATGCAGTTGATATCGGATCTGGGACACTGTCAGGGCAAGTGCTAAGAACGCTGAGGGACACTGGGGTATACTGAGCAAAGCCCTACTGTGAGAGGCTGGGGACTGAAGGTACAACTCCGGCTCAGCTACTGACTTGACAAAATGATCTCACTTCTCAGGCTTCATTTCTTCATCTATAAAAAGAGCTACAGGCTGGGTGTGGTGGCTCATGTCTGTAATCCCAGCACTTTGGGAGGCTGAGGCGGGTGGATCACAAGGTCAGGAGATCGAGATCAGCCTGGCCAATATGGTGAAACCATGTCTTTACTAAAAAAACAAAAACAAAAAACAAAAAACAAAAAAAACAAAAAAATTAGCCAAGTGTGGTGGTGGGCACCTATAGTTCCCAGCTACTCCGGAGGCTGAAGCAGCAGAAACACTTGAACCCGGGAGGTGGAGGTTGCAGTGAGCCAAGATTGTGCCACTGTACTCCAGCCTGGGTGACAGAGTGAGACTCTGTCTCAAAAACAACAACAACAAAAAAGAGCTAAAAAATTAGTCTCTAATGTTCCTTTTAACCTTAACATTCAGAAATTCTATGAAAATAAAAAAAATATATTCTCATCTTTCCGGGATATTATGAGATATTCAGATCTGCAAAAAAGCATGTATATATTAAGAAATGTTAAGAAATAAATATAAATATTTCTCTGAAGACAGACTTCAGATTTTTCCCCTTTTGATTTCTTGACAACTGCTTTGCCTAGAAGTGATTCATTTTTAAATATTCTGATTAATTACTTCACGCTTTGATCATCTACATTTCCGAACGTGGAAACATTATTTAATATATGTGAACAAACTGTTTGAATTTTGAACACACAGTAAACAAGCAAAAAAGGAAATAAAGAGTTTAAGAGGTTGAGAGACTAGTCACCTTGTTTAACCAGTTCAAAGCATTGAGAGTAGAGCCTCCATTGCAGCCATAATTATTATACGAACAGTCAATGACCTGCTGGACACTTAGGTCTTCCAGGGGCTTCCCCTTTATTGCATAAGCAGATTCCACTGCCCCCACCACGCTGAAGGCCCAGCATCCTCCACACTGTTTAAAAACAGAAAAAGGGGTGGTATTTCCAGGGTTTAAATCAACTTACCAACATCTCTAAATGTAACAAGTTATCAAATCAAGTAAGGCTTCCAGATTCTGGAAACCTACAAAATAAATACGCCTATCCTCTAGATTTTTAAACTGAAAAAAAGAGAAAACCAAAAGTCTCTTTTGAGCATCATTTAATTATTAGTTCATGTTGTCAGCATTATTACTATTCTAAATTTGGCAATGCAAGATAAAAGTGAATTTTTAGAGACCGAGGAAATACTTGGGCTAACTGATGATCTTCTAAAAGACCATTCAGTTCACTGAATATGTGACTTCTCTTTGTAAGTGGCTTTTCTTCTGGAGAGTGTGTGCCGACTCCCGCCCCAACCTTCCATCCCCCTTGCTTTTTTAAGGACACTCTGCTTCCATGGTCATACACCACTTCCATCCTAAGGGTGAGGAGGGGAAAGATGCATGTTGTGCTAATTATTTGATGGAGATAAGAGAATTAATAAATATTAATGAATTACTCTTTAGGCTATAAAGATGCCCGATTAAGTATGCTTATAGTGGATGTACATGAAATGTCCTAAGGATATAAATCCATATTAGTCATTACTCCAGTATTGGCTGCCAATCATGCTGATAGTGGATCTCTTAATTTGCTTTTACTTAACAAACTAGAACAAAAGAATAAAAGAACTAGTCCTGAAAGAAAGAGAGGAGACAGAGGGAATGAAATTAGGGATCGTAGGATCACGTAAAAGGAAGAAGGATCCACAGAAAAGGCAGAAGAGAGTAGGATTTGAGACTGGATGAAACTAACATAACTGGAGGGCCATGTGTGGCAGAGTTAGACCAAAAAAAAAAAAGGAATGACAATTGGATATCTTTGCAGAGTTAAGTTTTGAGCAACTTTATGGCTTTAAGTGCTTTTTTAAAGGTTATATCTCTATCTCTAGTGCCTATGGCATAGTAAAAACACTCACTAAGTGACCATACAGCAGGGTCTCCAAACTTTGACAAAGGTGAACACAGGGCAGCTCATGCCTGTAATCCCAGCACTTTGGGAGGCCAAGGCAGGCGGATCATGAGGTCAGGAGTTCAAGACCAGCCTGACCAACATGGTGAAACCCCGTTTCTACTAAAAATACAAAAATTAGCCAGGCATGGTGGTGCGCACCTGTAATCCCAGCTACTAAGGAGGCTGAGGCAGGAGAATCTCTTGAACCTGGGAGGTGGAGGTTGCAGTGAGCCGAGATCGCATCACTGCACTCCAGCCTGGGTGACAGAGTGAGACTCCGTCTCAAAAAAAAAAAAGAGAAAAGGTAACAGGCTGCTGACATCACCCCTATAGCCAGCTTTAGTCAAGCCACAAGGGCAGTTCCTGCTTAAAAAAAAAAAAAGTCTCTCATATATTCCTTTAATTAAAGATCTCTAATTAAAAGTTCCCTCTTCAATACACTGTGGACAATTTTTGAAAGGATTAGATTTATGTCTAATTGACATGTTATTACAAATCCAATAATAAAGCAAATGATTTGGTGGTAAAACTTAATGTACAAAAATAAATATAGACTCTGAGAAGCAAAAATCATTCTAACTACACATTGACTGCGAAACAGCTGGCACCAAAACACTTTCCATAAAAGGGAAGGCTGAATGATCTGTTGAGGTTTCCACTGCAGACAAACTGAGACTATCCCCTCTGGTTAGGGGTTTGACTTTGCCTGTTTGGCAGGCATTCCCTTTGCCAACAGTTGGGAGTGTAGACGGGTAGGGAAGGTCAGCAAAGTATGCACACACCCCTCAAACGTCTGCCAGCTAGGTGGGTTCACTACATGCATTATAGGTCATACCCACCCACATCTGCTCTTACCACTTTCCTTCCTAGTTCAAAGGCACCTCCTTCCACCACTTCAGAATAACTCACAAGCTGCTGCCCTGCCAACTCCCATGTCCTCAGCACACTTTGAGTCTCTTTTCAAGGTAAATTGCTATATTTATTGCAGTACTTACATATTTCTTAATCAGTAAACATGTGTAAAACTGTGCTACTGTGTCTATTAGTTTTCTGTCTTTTAAAACATATGTCATTGACTAAGCTCGTAGGTAGTGTAACCTAACCTCATTTCTCCCATAATCCCTGTCATGCTACTGCTCAATTCTGCATAGGTGGTGATTTTCTGGAATGTATGCGTCACGTTATGGCTGAACTGACTACTAACTATACTTTTAAGGCCCACAGATTCAAAGGTATATGATCCTGTGAAGACGGGGGCAGATTTTCTGACAGAGCTTGCAAGATGAGGCTTGAGAACCCAGGAGATTCGGCCACACTGTTGGTAAATGTATCCATTTTCATTTTACTTTTTCACTTTTTTTTTCTTGAACCATTTAAGCCTTTAGTGCTCATGTTTACCTTCTCCAGCCTCTCATCTGCTATTGTACAGAAAGCTTGGTATCTGTGATACAGCTACTGGGAAGTATCCCTGAGCTGTTATTACAGCTACTGGGAAGTATCCCTGAGTTATTGTGTTGGTGGCAATGGCAATTAGTAAGAGTACACAGCAAGGAAGGTTTATCTTCAGAAATAAAAGTCAGGGCTTTGACATTTGACTCTCATTCCTCCAGAGATTCTCTTTTCATTGTCATTTTTGGATGACTGAGATGTGATTTTCCTAGAGAAATGATGTTTCCATTACAACTTTGATTAAACTTGACCTCAAAGCTGCCTTTCAATGCTTAGATGATTAGAAAAGAAGAGGGATTTCAACGTACCATCTGCTGGTTTCTCACTTGTGTCACAACCTGCTTGTCCCTCCAGTCAAATCTTAACGGCAAAGACACATTGGGGATGGACATATGTACTTCTGCTGAGTATCTGGGAAACTTGGAAGGTTTGCTTCTTAAATAAATGGCTGAGTAGAAACATAAAATGAAAATACAACCAATATTATATTACAATATATTATATTATATATATCATATATATTTGTTATATATAAAGACAATCAATATTATATTATAGGGAGACAACCAATATTATACTAAAAGACAACCAATATTATATTATATTATATCCTTGAGATTCTTTGGGAGGAACTTTTAAAGAAGAAACAGTAGCCTTCTAGTAGACCTGCTATTTTAGATTTTCTCTTGTGCTTTTCTATAACATAAAATGCATTCATTAAAAACTACAAAAGAGAATTCCTACAATAAGGCTGGAGTTGACACATAAAATGATTTGTTTGATAGAACCAGGTCAATAATAAAAATAAGTATAATTGACATCATTTGTTCTATCATAACCCATGGAACCATGTGTGTCCTGAAGAGAAAAAGCACTAGAAAACTGCAGAAGTGATTAGACAATTATCCTTTATAGCCACATGGAAATGTGCATAATTATAACATTCATTTCTTAAGCAGTAATTAGAAGAGACTGGCCATGAATTTATTTTCTTATGTGAGCACATGGTACATGCCTGACATTTAGTAGACACTTAATAAATGTTAACTATTACTCAATATATTAGATTTACAATGAAATATTTATCAAAAGTTAAGCAAGCAAATTAAAATCAGGAAACCACCTAAATAGCAACATCGGACTATACCTTTAAACTCTTCAGGAAACAAATAGGAAAACTGATTTATTCCATAGAAGGCGGTGGAGTTTTCACTGGGAAATAAAGAATTCAAGTATCGATGTCTATTAAGACTTTCCTAGAAGAAAAACAAAAACTATTTCATATCCACTATGTCAGTTTTCCAAAGTAAACTGTGTATAACTAACTTGGAGAAATTTTTCAATTATAAAGTTAAAGCTTGATTTCCTTCAGACTACAATGTAAAGTTGTATAAGATATCCATAGGAGATTCATAAATATTTTCTATTAGAATTATTATCTAATTGCAGACATTTTTTGAGGCTGAGAAAAGTGTATTTTATTCATTTATAATTCCCCATCACCAGGTTTGTTGCAAGCATTCCATATACAGCTGTTAAAGTATTGACATAGTGGGAAAAAAGAAATAGACTGCAAATAAACACTAGATACTAGAAGCAAATTGTCACCTTTAGACATTCACTCATGTGGTTAAACAATTATGAATATGGAATATGTCCTCTTCACCTTTGTGTTTCCCGGAACTAAGTAATGAAGCATGAAAAACAGACTGGGTAAATAAATTAATAAATCAATCTGATTCTATTAAAGCTTTATAGATATCTCTATCTCATGTAGGGTACAAAGGCTCTGTGACAGATGCAATTCTGGAAATATTTGAAGAAGATAGCCTGGTTTCTCTATCTGGAGGGGAAATGTGACCATTATTTACTGATTTCTCAACTTTGAATTTTGTGACAATTTATCTTAAGCTTATCTTTTATATATAAACATGCTTCAATTTCGTAATACTAACCAATTACATAGAATAAATAAAATTTCAGGGGGCTATCATTTGGTACCTTTCCAACCCTAGCGCTTCTACATATTTGTCTATGTACTTATGTGTTTATTGTGTGTCTGTATCAAAAACCTATAAGCAAAATGATGACTGCTTATATGTCTTATTCCTTATGGTGAGACACTCACTTAGCACATGGCTGACACACAATAGATCCTTGATAAGTGTTTGTTGTTGAATAAATAGATAAGTGACATTTTCCATATCATGCCCTTAATAACTTTAAGCTGTTTATTTTTAAGTAAATTATTGCTGGAAGTTGTCATAATCTTATTTTTTTTCCTTTTGTGCATACCTAGGAAGATTGCTAATCAACAAATTAATAAAGTTTTTGAGGTACTTTAAAATAATCTTGATGAAGCAAGGCTTTCAATATAACCTGGATATATAAATGTAAAAATAGAACTAGAATACAAGGTAATTCTGTATATGGCAAATGACAAATATAAGCCAGAGACTATTAACTGCTAAGGAATTCAGAGGATTCATTCATTCAATAAGTACTGCCTGGCCATCTTTGTGAGCTGGAGTAGTCAGGAAGGCACTGAAAATGTAGGATGTTAAGAATGCACAGGAGAGAATGTGGCAGCCATGAGAATGTGCCTCCCAGCCTTCTTTCTATAGGGAGTTTAGCTGCTGCTAGTTGAAATCTCCATGATCACACCAAGGGAAGCCACAGTTCTTACGGGCTGCACCTAGCTCATGACTTAGTGCTAAGGCTTGCTATTTGGGAGACAAATGGGACTCCCCTGACAGCTGGTTTTTGATTAATGACTCCCTGATGGCCTTGCCAAACCAAACTTTCCTTGGACTGTGAGACAGCATGGGACTCTTCCCCAGTCTTCCTTCCTTTTTTCCTTCACTCAGGGTCAGAATTACATTGCAATCAGATAGCTCTACCTGGACCTCTCCCTATTAGTTCACAGGAATTGCTCCTGTGATTGATTAAAAAAAAAAAAAAAAAAAAGCCTGGGAGCAGTGGCTCACACCTGTCATCCCAGCACTTTGGGAGGCCGAGGTCGGTGGATCATCTGAGGTCAGGAGTTCGAGACCAGCCTCGCCAACATGGTGAAAGCCTGTCTCTACTAAAAATACAAAAATTAGCCGGGCGTGGTGGTGGGCGCCTATAATCCCAGCTACTCAGGGGGCTGAGGCAGGAGAATCGCTTGAACCTGGAAGGCGGAGGTTGCAGTGAGCCCAGATCACAGCACTGCACTCCAGCCTGGACGACAGAGCGAGCCTCCAACTCAAAAAAATAAATAAATAAATAAAAAATAAGAAAAGAATGAGAAGACATGAATAACCAATTTACCAATATTAGGAATGAAAGAAGAGCCATGATTACAGATGCTTCAGGCATTAGAAGAATAATATTTTGACAACTTTATGACAATAAATTGGCAAACTGTACAAAATGGACAAACTTTTTGCAAGGCACAGATTGCCAAAGATGAAAGGAGAAATAGAAAACTTGAGCAGCCTTTTATCAGCTAAAGGCATTAAATTTGTAAGTGAAAACTGACTCACAAAGAAAACTTCAGGCCCAGGTGGCTTTTTGGTGAACTTTATACAATGAAGAAAGAAGTAATACCAATATTATCCTTTGAGAAAATCAAGAAGAAGGGAATACGCTGCAACTTAAATAAGACCAGTGTTACCCTGATTCTAAACCAGAAAAATGTATCTAAATAAAATAGAACTACATACCAGTATCCCTCATAAATACGCTGTAGACACAAAATCCTTAACAAAATAGCAAATCAAATCTAACAATATATGTTAAGGACAATATATTGTGACCAAGTGAAGTTTATTTAGAAATGCTAGGTTGGTTTAAAATTTCAAAATCAATCATCAGTACGATACACCATATTAACAGAACAAAAAAGGAATATACCACACACACACCACACCACACCAAATGCGCACACACACACATACGCACGCACATGAGGTATAGACTGGTACGCCCTTTCAAGATCCTTAAAATTACACAAATTGTTTAATTAAGAAAATCTAATTCTAGGAATGGATTTTAGACTCTTGAGTGTAGGCAATGCTGTACGTGTGGGTTCTACACGTGTGTCTGGGAGGGGAGGCAGTAGTTGAGCCACATACTCTATTTAGTTGGAGAGCTAATGCAAGTTTATCTCACTAGATCATTTGTGACATCTACGAGAGAAACAATATATTGCCACTCAAGTTGGCAAATGCCAGATGAAACAAACTTATACATCGTTGGCAGGGAGTTCCCATGTACTTCTCTTAATTTTTGTGTTGCCTTATAAGTGTCATTTCACCATCCAAAGTTTAGGTGTTCCGGTTGTGAAGTAGTTATAATAACACCAATTTAATAATGAAATAAATGAATGTATTATTTATTTATTTTAAATATTTATGTCCCTAATTTTCAATGATGATTCCAATAACAGTTACTTGGTTTTGGTCTTGTGCCATGTGTTTGAAAAGACAAATATCTCCACATATATTTTCTATTTGTTACCACTTGATACACTGTTCTTTATGTCAGCGGCACTAGTGTCTGCAGGACTTCTGAAAATGTTGCTGTCTTCCACTTGTTCAACCAGGAGCCAACTTCTAAAAGAATTCCATTTGCTATTCTGGTGTAATGACTCCTGTCATTTCACAGCTCTCCATAGCCCATGTCAGGGCTACTCAATCTTTATACAAATTGTTGACTTCCTGCCAACAGCAAAATACTCTAAACCACTAAGTGCTCTGCTTCGTCCTCTCCCTACCACTAATCTCTACCCACTTGTTTTGATTTTGCAAAACCATTAATAACATTAAAAGTACTTCCTTGGAGGCTTCTGAACACAGCATAATAATAATTATTATTATTATTTTGAGGCGGATTCTCGCTCTGTCGCCCAGGCGAGTGCAGTGGCGTGATCTCAGCTCACTGCAAGCTCCGCCTCCCGGGTTCACCCCATTCTCCTGCCTCAGCCTCCCGAGTAGCTGGGACTACGGGCACCCGCCACAATGCCCGGCTAATTTTTTTTGTATTTTTTTTAGTAGAGATGAGGTTTCACCGTGTTAGCCAGGATGGTCTCAATCTCCTGACCTCGTGATCTGCCCGCCTCAGCCTCTCAGAGTGCTGGGATCACAGGCATGAGCCACTGCGCCTGGCCTCTTTTTAACTTTGCAACAATTTGAAATGTCTTACCATTGCTGTGCAATTTTTGGCTATATAATCAACCTCTCTGAGCTTTATTTCCATCAACAAATGGAGTAATACTGATCTGGAAGAATGTAAGGATGAAATAAAATAATAATTGGAAAACACTTATTACAGAGACTGGCAAAATAAATGCTCAGTTAAAATACTCTCATCCTCTATCTTCCTTTTCCTTTAAACAGAGTATTTGGATTATAGAAATGGCGCTCAAAGACCATACTTTCAGATTCACTTGGAGCAAGTATTTCTCATGTCATTAGAAATGAGGATCAATATTATCTATTGAAAGCAATCTGTTGCTTTCATGGTAAAATAATACTATCAGTATATCCAAGAATATCTATTCTCTTATTTATTTATTGTCTTGTTTGCTATACACTTATCAAGTTCACTAACATGGGTTTCACATCATTTAAAATTTAAAAAGCCCTGTATTTCATTTCTTGAATTATCAATTCTTTTAAGTGACTTTTCCGGTCTCTCTTGATTCTGGCTATTAAAGATTTCATAGACGCATCACAAACTGAAGTCTGTATGAGGCCCTTGCTGCTCATTACATCCAACAACCTCCGTTAGGTAAAGGATCAGTGGGCACATGTTCTCAACAGAGGATATGATAGGGAGCAAATTTAGAGTAGCCATCTCTAAAGTCATATAAAATATTAAAGAAAAGACCTGAACCTTAACTTCATTTATGAGAGGAAAGACGTAAAGTTTTGATGAATACATAGGAAACTTCTCATTGATACTTTTGAAAAGTGCAGATGTTTAAAAATTAGATCTTACATGAGAAAAATTAGAGCTGATAAATCAGAACAGCCTTGGTGAACAGATTTGGTGAAAAATAACTACCTTCACCTTTTTTTTTGTTGTTGTTGTTAAATGTGTTTAATTGAATGAGTTACAAAGGGAGATACCAGATTCCTGAACAGAAGGGTAACTCAGAACCCAAGAGATTGAAGAAATTATCCTGATTATAAAACTAGGAAAAACATGTCCCTTGGGCATTAGTACGTCTTGTGCATACTAAGTCTCTATTTATTATAGGTATAACCTCTCAAATTCATACCTAGGACCCTGTCCCTGTAAGACTCTGTCCCTAAAGCTATCCTTATTATGACTTCTAGCAGCCATCCTTCTAAGAGGTAGAATCTCTTAAAGCTGCCTTTGTGTGTGTGTGTGTGTGCACATGTGTACTGGAGGTGATCACATATTTGAACTGTGATTTAAATGTAATATGTTTCTAAGCAGTGTCTTCCATATTCTAATTTCCCGCCTGTTAGCCTAGCTAGGATGCTTCATGAGTATGCTAAAGGAGGTTGATAAGAACTGCAGAGTAGTCATGAAACATCCCAGCAAGGCCAAACAACAAACAGAGGATGGGTTCAGTCTGATCATAAAACAGGATAACTCTATTGACAAGAGACCTGAACCAGTCTCATGAGGAGGTTAGGCTGCAGTTTTAAAATTCCTCAGAAATCAACATTTTTCTTACAGGATCAGAAAGCCCTTCCAGCTATCTCAGGCATCTTGGCCCTCTTACCTTTCCAGCTGTGGGTAACCACAGTCTTAGATAATGCTCCGGCTAGGGTAAGTTAAGAGGAAAATGGTCATGTTCAAAACAATCAAAGAGTAGAAACCCACGGAGGGTGGCTTGAGGGGTTCTCAGATGTTTCCTTAATCTACTTCCCTGAGGGGAAAAATCTGTGAAATCTTTCTCACAGACTGCCACTAAGTAAGAGTAAATGAAATCATGTATTTTCTTCTTGCATGTACTCAACTGTTTCTAAAGGAGTAAGCGAATCTTTTATGAGCAAACTGTTGAGTTTTCATTTCTCTACAAGGAAAGTTCTCAGCCACTGAATGCACTAAATACAAAGGGTTGAAGGGATTGTTAAATTGAATGCAAGTATTCATTCTAAGTGTTTTACATGAATTAACTTAGCCCTGTATAAAGGTAATTGCTAACATTACCCCTCTTCACAGAAGAATAAATCTGAGAAACAGATACATGATTTGCCTAAGATCACACAACTAGTATTTGGTGGAGGGGTATAGTTATTTAGCCTGCAAGAAATCTACTGAAGCGTTATAAACTTTAAGGGACTTCATGTCTGTTTTATCAGCTGAAAAGGCAGTGAACATCTATTATTTTTCCCCATTGATATCTAGGTTTCCTTCCACTAATGATGATTTATTTGCCTTTATCAATATACGCAATGATGTGTGTATTCCCTTACAATGAATCCCATGTATCCATGGGATAAGTTTTATATTGAAATTAACAGAGACACCTAAGGTACTTTGGAAGCTCACTTTATCTTCGGCACTTTAAACTCATTGTTTGTCTTGCAGTTCCATTACTCAGACTTTTAACAACTTTCATTTGCAGATTTTGAAGTTTCATAGGATAAATCGTAAATTGTACACATAGATTTAAAATGTTCTCCTTAGGAGTGCTTTCGTTTCTGGAAATTGCAGTAAAGCTGAGGATGAGCAAAAAAGGTAAAATATTTGTATACAAAGAGCATCACTGAGAATTTCTTGGAAGACTTAGGAGTTGTAAACTTTAGATCAGTGATTCTCAACTGAGGATAATTTTGTCCCTCATTTGTCATACTGGGGATTGTCATACTGGTGGGATGCCACTGGCATCTGGTGCATAGAGCCCATGCATGCTGCTACTCACCCTACAATGAAGAGGAAGGTCCCCCACAACAAATCACTATCCATTCTCAAATGTCAATAGTGCCACTGTTGAGGAGCCTTGGATTAGAACAATAAAAGCTTTTTAAAGGATACACTTTTATAAAGTACAGCTTTTGAAAAGTTTCTTAGACAAAGTATTTTCTATACAGTGTACTGAAGTGTGTGTAAACATATTGCAGATATATGTTTACTATGTATGATAAGAAATGTGTAGTCAGTATTTGTGTGAGCATGTACACAAAAAGATTGAATTAAAAATACATACTTTTGTGAACTACTTGGGAGAATCTATTTCTCCAGTGTATAAGTCTTTACATTCTTTTTATTTACAGGAAAATGTTTATTTACAGGATACAATGCTTAAACATAACGATATTCATTTTTTGTGTACATTTCTTACAGGACAGCACGCGTCTTATTCTCCACTGTATCCCTCAGAAAACCCAGACCAGTTCTTTAGACACAGTAGAAATTAAATAAAGTATTGGATAAATGTATGGGAAGATGAATAAATTATAACCTATGATTTTAAGTTTATGATATATTTCCATTTAGTCCATGTATGCTTTAAGTGAGATTCATCAGAAAAAGTCTGCTGAACAACCTTATCTAACATCAAATTCGTGTTATCATCTTTATATAAGGTAGAACAGGAGTCTCAAAACCCTGGGCCATGGACCAGTACTGTTCTGTGGCCTGTTAACGACCAGGCTGCACAGCAGGTGGTGAGGGGCCTGCGAGCATGCATCACCACCTGATCTCCACCTTCTGTCAGATCGGCAGCAGCATTAGATTATCATAGGAGCACAAACCCTACTGGGAACGGTGCATGTAAGGGATCTAGTTTGCACAGTCCTTATGTGAATCTAATGCTTGATGATCTGGGGTGGAACAGCTTCATTCTGAAATCATCCGCATCCTCCTCACCCCACGCGACACCCCAGTCCGTGGAAAAATTGTCTTCCATGAAACCAATCCCTGGTGCCAAAAAGTTTGGGAACCACTGAGGTAGAAAATAGGTATTAAAGCTTTCTTGGATAAAGCCTATTTGGAGGACCTAATTCCAGATTTCAAGGGGCTGATTACGGCAAGCACATATAAGTGGCTCATTAGTTAGGATCACTTGTTATAAAGATGCTATGGCCATCTATTTACACATAAATAAATATTCCTAAATATATAAATAATCTTATAATAATATAACCTGTGTCATTACGGCAACTGGTCTTAAGGTAAAGCTTTGGAAATTTTATGTAAAATCACATGTACTTTGGCATAGATATTATTCTAAAGTGAGTGTATCAAGCAAATTTTATTGGATCCAATATTGGGTCTGTGCCTCCCAAAAGGATAAGAATACCAAATGTTCTGTGGTAAAATAATGAGCATCAGTAAATATGAGGGCATAGCTAGGTTTTGGCACAAAGGAGAGTAGGCTAAATCCAATAGTTAAGAGCTTCCTGAGCACTGGAAGTTTCTAAAGGAGTGAAAGTGCAGAGATAAGGGGTGCCATCCAAAGTCAGGTGTCTTGTGAGGCATCCCATAATAAACCATAGTGGAGTCTAGTTTTCACTGAACAATACTATAATATTTTGTGGGAAAGTCATGGGCTAACCTAACTTTCATTTAACGTGCATTCCTGGGAAACTTACAAAACTATCTAAGGCTAAGATTAAAACAAATTTTAAAACCTTCACCATTCTCTAAACCCATGACCATGAAAGACATTACTAATTAATCAAGGACTTTCTTGAACCAGATCTTCAGCTGCAAACCCCTGAATCATCAATTCACCAATGAATTAACTTGATTTCAACATGAAGTTTCACGGTTACCAAGGAGGCAAGGCCCTTTCCACCTTTCCCACTGTCCAGCTCTCTATCCCAAGTCCGAACAGCAATCTCCAGCTAACTAATCTAACTAATTCCTGATGATCTTAGATGAAAGACTTTCATCCCAAATCCATCCATCTCCCCCACTTCCCTCCTCCCGTCCATGGAAAAAATGTCTTCCATGAATCCGGTCCCTAGTGCCAAAAGATTGGGGACCACTAAGGTAGAAAATCGGTTTTAAAGCATTCTTGGATAAAGTCCAACTAAGCACCGAGAGGTGTTCAGTTTCCAGCAACTGTGCGTTGAAGCCTCAATGTTCTCTTTTTTGGGTATCCATCTCATGAAGCAAATTCTTACAGGCAGCAATTGCTTTGAAAATTTTTTCAGTATTTCTTAACCCGAGGTTTTTAAAATGTACTAAGAGTCTTCATAATTCGATCCTCCTCCACTTCCAACTTTCCATCTTTCAACCTGTTTCTTTGTATTTCTCCTGAGAAAAGTTACATTTTCTAGACATTCATCAGGGTATGGCCTCTTTACAGGACCAGTATGAGTCACTACATAAATTATACACATATATATTTATAAATTATCTAAAATCTAAATAAATGTTAAAAATATATTTATAAGTCTAGCCCTTTGAGCTTTGTCCTGAAATATTATTTTTAGGAGCCTGACAGTGTGTTTATTTATTTAGCCAATGAATACGTTACCAATAAAGGTGAAACTGACTTTTCCCCTAAGGGGTTTGGTTTACCAGGAAAACGAACGTAAGTTGAGGATAGGGGTAGAATACAGGCCAGAATTTTGTTCTTGAAAGAGTAAGAGGACTTCTGGTTTTGAAAGCTAGAACTGAACTCAAGAATAATAAAGTGGAGATAACAGTACACATCTCGGTTTGGACAAAACGTAAGAGTGGACAGAATCAGGGAAGGCTGGCCTTCCTAAACATTGGAGCTTTCCAGGAGAGTCGGGGGAAAAGAGCACAGCTATGAAATCCTGTGAGAAATTCCAACAAACACCAGGAAAAAAGATACACTTCCTTGAGCAATATTACTCAACTCAGACTTATGTTTGATTCAGAATGAAAGAATTTTCTTTTCCAATAAATTAAATCATGACAATGGCATCTTTCATGAATTTAAAAATGTGTTAAATAGTATCAGCTATCTAGAACATAGTGAGGCGAACACTAAATCGGCATCCCTTGCAGTTTCCTTGGTTTCAGGAAAATCATTATTTGTGCTCAGCTAACTGGTCCCTTCCAGAGTTTTCATGCTAGACTCAAATCTAAGTATTTATTATAAATATTATAAATTATAAATTATATTATATTTCGTATAATAATATGAAAAGGAAATTAAATGCTTCTCTTTTCTTCAACTCAGTCTCCGCCAAGGCAGGAAGAACTTTTAAGGTGGTGCGTTAGTTTAAGGAGAATCATAAACCATCAGGATTCTTTAATCTGGCTAAAGACAGGCTCTTTGTTTCTAACTTCTGATCACTAGCGCCCTCCTCGGGAAAAAAAAACACGACAGGTTTCTTCCACCAACAGGCTGCTCCCTGTTTCTGGTTCTCATAAAAGAGAAATAGAAGAGCTTTGGAAGCCAGTGGCAACGATCGAGGGGATTGCTAAAAGGGGGTGCTTCTTCCCACCAAGGACACTTTGGACGTATCTATGGATTTATTTGGGTGCGTCCCAAAAATCCATAGCGACAAATCTCTTCTGGAAAATCAAGTCTTTTGGTTAGCAAAGGCATGGGGGAGTGACACCATGGCACAAGGAGAGGGGAGAGAGAAGCTGGCTTTTGCACCCGCAGCTCAGGGCCCCAGACGCATCGCAGAGCCACGGGTGCCCACGAGCAGGGTCAGCTCTCGGGGGCCCTCTTCCGCAGCCCAGACCCGGGACAGGAAGTGAGGGAGCAGGGACAGATCCCGGGGAGGCGCGCGCTCGGTACCCGGAAGGCGGCGGCTTCACGCTCGCGGCTCCGCGGCCAGGTCGGGGTGAAGGGGGCGCGGGAGTCCGCATCGCCGCCGCCCCGGCACAGCAGCCACAGCAGCCACGGCAGCCACGGCAGCGCCCGCACGTCCATTGCGGCGCCCGGCTCCTCTGCCGCCCGCGCGGCCTGTTTTCTCTTTCGGTTCCTCGGCTCCTCCCAGCCTGGGCTCGAGGGGCGGAAGGAGCTGGGTTGAGTGCACGATGCTGAGATTGACCCTTTTTTAGGTCCCCGGTGTTCTGTGACTGAAAATCCGGTCAGCTGGAGGCTACGGACCTCCTTGCTGAGGCTAGTTTTTTTGTTTTTGTTTTTGTTTTGGAAGAGTCAGGCACTTGACCATGTGATTTCGAGGTTTCACTTCCATCCATTAGAAAAAAAGAAGCCTGAGAGTCATTCTTTTGTGTGTGTTGAGATCAGGTCTCACTGCAGCCTCGACCTTCAGGTTCAAGTGCCTCCTGCCTCAGCCTCCGGAGTACCTGGGACTACAGGCGCGTGCCACCACCCCAGGCTATTTTTGTATTTTTAGTAGAGATAGGATCTTGCCATATTGCCCAGGCCGGTCTCGAACTCCTGGACTCTAGTGATCCACCCGCCTTGGCCTCCCAAAATGCTCACAGGTGTGAGCCACCTGGCCTGCCCTGTGAGCCACCGGAAGCTGCCTTTTTCCTTCTTGCCACAATCCCTAAGTTCAAGACCTAGTTCTGAAGTGATGTGGGCCAATACATAGAGTCATCCATTCAGCAGATGTTTATAAATACGTAACAAAATTGTACAGATGTGAAAAGCATACACAGTTTTTGGATCTATTATGGCAGTTTCAAAACTCTTGAAGCCTGTTTCTCCGTTTGCAAAGGAAGATAGAGCCAAGTACATAATTTGCAGGGTTCCGTGTAAACTGAAAATGAAGTTCCCTTGTTCATAAATTGTGAAGAATTTCAAGACGGCAACAGCAGAGCATTAACCCAAGCCATGGGCCTTCTAAGCACCCACTTCTGCACAGGTCACACACTCATGAACCTGGCTCTACCGAGCCTTTCTATTATAATCTATTCTGAACAAGGCTTCCATGTCTGTGAAATTCATATCATTACCCTTGTAGATTTTTAGAACTAACATCAGATTTATGTCTTTAGTTTTTACCTAGGTGCAGTGAGTTACAATATTCTCCAATGCAAACTTCGTAATAAAAATAAAAATAATGTTCCGAGTATTAAGAGGAAAGACACAAGAGTTTTTTATGTACGTTCATGATAAGATATATTGCTCTTGGCAAGTGTGGTGATAAAGATTTTATTTAAATCATAAGTTCACAGAACGATGTTCATGTTTACCTCAGCAGTTCTTTTGTACTTAGCCCTTTTTTGTGACTCATACAAGCACATACTTTTCTTTTTAAACTGAACTTTGCTTTCAGACCATAGTCCCTGTTTATTGACAACCTACGGAGTCAGGAAATTTAAATATAGGCAGTCATCTTTACTTTAGGATAATTGGTATTGTAAAAAAGCCCCTTGAACTAAACTCATTTCAGGAGCTCACATCAAGTATTTATTGAGTACCTGCTAAGTGTCAGGCATTCTTCTAGGTAATGAGGATATATCAAGTAAGTGGATAAGTGACTAAAGGGATGAAAATCCCCATCCCTATGGGACTGATATTTCAATTGATTTACATCAACAAATATTTTATTGAGTACTTCCTAAGTGTCAGGCATTGTTCTAGGTCATCAGGACACATCATGGATGGAAGTGCATAAGTGACTGAAGAGATGAAAAGCCCCACCCTGTTGAAGCTGGTATTTCAGTGAGGGGGAGAGACGCAATAAAATTACTACAGGTTGAGGATCCCTTATCCAC
Organism: Homo sapiens; assembly: GCF_000001405.40. Taxonomy (NCBI): domain Eukaryota; kingdom Metazoa; phylum Chordata; class Mammalia; order Primates; family Hominidae; genus Homo; species Homo sapiens. Next base: position 120,225 of record NW_003315914.1, read on the forward strand.
AATGCCTGGGTCTGGAAGTGTTTCAGATTTCAGATTTTTTCCCCCCAGAGTTTGGAATATTTGCATATACATAATGAGATCTCTTGGGGATGAGACCCAAGTCTAAACACAAAATTCATTTGTGTTTCACTTATGCTACTGACTGAAGGTAATCTTACTGACTATTTTAGGTAATTTTATGCATAAAACAAGGCTTTGAATGCATTTTGACTATGACCCACCACATGAAGTCAGGTGTGAAATTTTCTAGGTGTGGCATGATGTCAGTACTCAATAAGTTTTAGATTTTGGAGTATTTTGGGTGTTTGGATTAGAGATGCTCAACTTGTACATGTGTTAAAGGACAATAAATCCAGATAAGGAGCATCATCAGTGTGAGGGGTGGTACTGCTATTTTAAATAAGCTGTTCAATACTGTCCTCACTGATGAGGAGAGTTTTGAGCAAAGATTTGAAGGAGAAGAAAGTGAGCCACATGGATATTCAGATATCCAGGGAAAGAGAAGCTAAGACAGAAAGAACTGTCAACACAAAGGCCTTGAGATGGAAGTTTGCTTGGCACGTTCCAGAAACATAAAAGACGTCAGCATGGATGGAGTAAAGGAAAAAAAAAAGGATGGGGGAGAGTAGAATATGAGATAAGTAAGAAGCGCACAGATTGTGAAGAATTTTGGGTCAGTTAAAAGGGAGATCAGAATCATCTATTAAGTAGTAAAACAAAGTTTTTGAAAAGTGGCTTGAAAAGTGAAGGTGGCAAGTATCTGCTAATTCTTAGAATAAACACTACAAATTACATGTATATGTAGAGATGTGTTTTTTTCATCAAATTTGCAAAATAGCACATGGAACTTCCCTCAACTCTGTATTAGATATCTATTGCCATGTAAAATATAACCCTCAAACTTAGCATCTTAAAAATACGAATTTTTCTTATCTTAAACAGTTTCTGTGGACCAGGAGGGAGCAGCTTATCTGGGTGGTTCCAGCTCAGAGTGTCTCATGAGGACGCAGACAAGCTGTTGCATATGGCTGCAATCTTCTGAAGGTTTCCCAAGTTTAAAGGATTCAATTTCAAGCTCATGTGGCTGTTAGCAAGAGTCCTCAGCTCCTCTTAGGCCTTTGGACAAAATCCTCAGAACCTTATCAGAAGGCTGGGCTTTTCCTGCCAGCTCTTTGTTCCTGCAGAATGAGTGAATAGAGAAATTGAGACAGTGGACCAGGGAATGACTGAGGTGGGAGCAGCAGTGTCTTTTTATAACCTTATCTTGAAACATATCATCTCTTCTGCCATTGGTTACACAGAGCCAGTCTGGTAAGATGTGGGAGGTGGAGCTGACATAAGGTGGGGTCATCAGGTGCCATCTTGGAGGCCCGCTACCACAGCCTCATGTTGAATGTTATAAGCCCAGTAACAAATGCAGTCATTTCTTTATGTGTGAAAATACTCCAGAGCTAACCATTTTCACAAATACCTCTTAACCTTTATGATACACAAATCAATATTTACTGTTGTTTTTATCCCGTTATGCACCTTCTGGGTTTTCTTCCATTTTTAATCATGCTACTTCATGTTTCAGTGACTTTGCTACGGAATTATTTTGTTTCTTTGTTTTTTTTTTTTTTACCTTTTTTTTGTTTGTTTGTTTGTTTGTTTTGTTTTGTTTTGAGATGGAGTATCTCTCTTGCTCAGGCTGGAGTGCAGTGGCACGATCTCGGCTCATTGCAGCCTCAGCCTCCCAGGTAGCTGGGATTACAGGCAAGTGCCACCACGCCCAGCTAATTTTTTGTATTTTTAGTAGAGACGAAGTTTCACCATGTTGGCAAGGCTGGTCTCAAACAACTGACCTCAGGTGATCTGCCCGCCTCAGCCTCCCAAAGTGTTAGGATTACAGGTGTGAGCCACCGCACCCAGCCTTGTTTTTATTTTTACTTGAAACACAACACATTAATGTGTTTATTATGATTTACCACTGTGCTAAACATTTTGCAAATATTAACCTTAATTCCCCCTTGCAGAAGGTAGTATTATGATCGTTTCTGTTTTATAGATGAGAAAACTTAGGCAGAGAAAAGTTAAGTACTAATTGCATGAGATATTGCAAACCTCATATAATCAGCTAGAGATTATTAAATAATTTGAAACATAAACTGAGAAAAATGCTAGGGTTAATCTGGGGAAAATATTGGAATGAATACTAATTGTATAAGAGATTAGGTATTTAGTGAGTTTTTCACGATATGAAGAATTTTGCATCCCCACAACCTCATGATTGCAGGGTTTCAGATATTTAATACACTGATAAGAAGGAACCATGTCTATTACTGCTAATCCTTACAACAACCCAGCAAGGTAGAAATTATTGTTCTCACTTTACACATGAGGGAACTGACATGTATAGCGATTAGGGACTTATTCAAGATCCTAAGTAGTAAGTGGCCATGGTGAGATGTAAATTGAGCTGTCAGACTTCAGAGCTCATGCCTGTGTTTTCTTCTGCACCAGCCTGCTCTCGGGAAGTCCAAGGCCTATCTTGCTATTTGTCATTACTATTTCTATTTTATATTGGCTCTTCTTTATTAACATACCTTTGGTAGTACACTGTGAGCTTTTTATGTTCTAGTTTAACTTACAGGCAAGCGTGGCATTCGGTAATGGACGTGAGTCATTGTAGTCCCTCTGAGTTGAATTGTTCAGGCTTTTTTTCCCCCTTTTTAATTTTTTTTTCTATATTATGGGAAGGGACATTATTTCTCCAGGAAACTAATTGGCTTGTGTGTGAGTTGAAAAAGTTGATTATCTTTAATCTTAGATTTTACACCAGAATATTTTCCTAATGCCAGGAAATCCTCTTTTTTATTGTGGTTGTTAATTATGTTCATAGTCATTGCTTTGTTCTTAACTTCTTATAATGGTGACATTCCATAGGGATAATGTAAATCTTGAATAAGAAAATGAGTTACATAAATTTCTAGGTAAGAGATGTTCAAACTTCCTTTCTGGCTGAAATTGAAGAAATGCTGTCTGAACAGCCACTGCTAACAGGCAGGATTTGTCAGGTCGTAGAAATTGCTCATTCCCGTTTCTCAGCTGGAGGGGAAAGGTTGTAAGAGGGGTTGGCAAAAATGCCATAAAACAAAGGAAGACGTGGTAACTCCACCAGCCAACTCCTAACGACAAAGTAAATAGCATAAATGAAAAGCCATGATGTATACCTCTTTCTCCAAACAGTTAATGGAACAAAAAGCCCCAAGAAACACCTGAACTCAAGAGCAGTTTCTATGGAAACCTCAATCCATTTCTATTCTGCTGACATTTGAATAAATGTGAGCCGACGCGTGCTTTAGCTCAGTCCCATTACACACACTGTGGAGACAGCGCTAATGGGTTTATCTTAGAACCATTATTAACTACTCAGAGCAAAATCGCATCAGTTCTCCCCTCATAGACTTAAACTATTCCACAGTCTTAAGTACTTCTGAAAAATCTGGGATCAGTAGGCAAAACAACACTTTTGACATGACTACTATTTTGTAGGCTCCAAAAACTCGCTCTCCTACTCATGTAAAAATGTTAAAGAGCCAAAATTTGTCATTTTCATGCTCTAAGAAAATAACTCCGGTATCTTTAATGTGTCATTAACACTAATGCATGTCATTAATGCTAATGCTCCATTCTGCTTTAACAGCCCTCCATTTCCCTCAAGTTAGATGGAGACTGCAAGAATTACACACCTTTTGACTTCTATTGCCTGAGCAAAAATCACATTATCCCAAAGGAAGGATGCAAGAGAACGCAAGACTCACAGGGAAGACATACACCTAGAGAAAACTGTCTTTAGATAGAATTCATATAAAATAAGGTGACTCGTCCTAATTGTAAATCCTGCCTTCCAACTAACAATTATAGAAAACCCTGTAGCTCAGGCAGCATATGAGAAAGACAGCCAAAGAGGCAGTTAGCTCTAAAAAAATTTTGTTTCGGGCATAGTGGTGCACACCTCTAGTTCCAGCTACTCCGGAGGCTGAGGTGGAAGCAACTCTTGAGCCCAGGAGATCAAGGCTGCAGAAAGCCAAGATTGCACCCCTGCACTCCAGCCTGGGCAACAGAGTGAGACCTTGTCAAAAAAAAAAAAAAAAAAAAAGACAAATTTTGTTTCATTGCTTTGAAGAACTATTTGGTTTAAATGATTTTTATTTGATCTTCATTTTAAATATCATATTGGTCCCCCTCATGGTCTCTAAGGTAATCTTCCAGCTAAGACCCCAGGTAATGTCAAATGACATAATATAGTAGATACAACACATTCTTGAATTCCAATTAACACGGATTCTTCTTCTTGTTTGTTTACTGGCTTTTGTGACCTTAGGAATGTTAGTTATCCTTCTTTAGCTTCTATTTCATTACCTGTAAATTGGAAATGATAATTTCTAGTTCTGGTGGTGTTCTGAAGGTCAGAGACAATGAATACAGAATGCTTGGATCATAGGTGTTCATTCATAATGGCAGTTATAATTGGCGATAAAGTTTCCTTTTGTGGTAAGATTTAGGATCAACATTATTAGACTTTACTCTCTTCATTGATAAGTCCTTGGACAAAAATAATTTTATATTTGAGGATCATCGCCCTTTCCTGTCTATTCTGCTTCTTAATGATTTTCTTTGCTAACATCAACATTGCATTAATAATTATATCATATTAGAAGTAGCTATCATTAATACTGGAGGAATATGGCAATTTTTTAATGACTTTACTTGTTTAGGTTTTATAAATACAGTAATTCCTCCCTAGCCATAATCTCTTTTTAGATATCTCGCTGATCCAGAAAACTTAGAGAATTTTTGTCTAAGGTGATGTTTCTAAGGTTGGAGATGTTTCGGGAAATAAGGTTTGGGGGTTTGGAATGGAAAAGAGAGGTAATATAGATAGCAGAGAGGGAAGTGTGATTTCTGCCATGGAATTTGGGGAGAGAAAATAGTAACTGGAGTGGAATTGCTAGCTTCCTGTATCTGCGCAGTGCTTTAAGAAGAGGCTCTAATGGCACGTGCTCTGGCATTCGGTTATAACGCGCAGAGATAAGACCATTAACTTCAACTCTTACAGAGGTAGTTAAGAAATAGGAAAGTCTAGATGTCTAGATGACTTTACTTTCCTATTTCTTAACTACCTCTGTAAGAGTTGAAGTTAATGGTCTTATCTCTGCGCGTTATAACCGAATGCCAGAGCACGTGCCATTAGAGCCTCTTCTTAAAGCACTGCGCACCAGCATGGCACATGTATACATATGTAACTAACCTGCACAATGTGCACATGTACCCTAAAACTTAAAGTATAATAAAAAAAAAAACATTAAAAAAAAAAAAAGAAATAGGAAAGTAAGTTAAACAAAGCCTAACCAAGCACAAGTCCTCCTCCCATGGGGGCTTTCTGAGGCTTAATCCACACAGCCAGGGAGTGACTGTGGTATAATTCAACAAAGCAGCCCAAGGAAAGAAAGTGGCTCAGAACCTAAGACTTTTAGGATTACTAGAAAAATGGAATGTGGAGGCTAGCAGAGCATGTCCAAATCCTGTAGCCCGCCTCTTTAATTTGCAGATGAGAAGTTTCCTAGTAAGATGAACATGCTCCTAAAATCACAGAGCTGGCACTTGGAGAGCCAGGGGTTGACACGGTGTCCTGCCTCCTACCATCCACCTCCTTCTGATATTTTAGGGTGCCTTGTTGAGTGGATAAGCCCCTCTCACTTTTAAAACTAGACTTACTACATTTATTTTCCTTTATGGAATTTAAAACACAGCCATTGTTCATCCGTCCCAGGAAGTCATACATAAAGTTATAAACTTGAAAAAGTTTTCCTGAATTACAAAACTTCAGACAGACCTATTCACCCTCACAAGTGATAAAGTTAGAACTGCCTAGAAAACTGGTACTCATTTGTTATGGCTACATGTTTTATCTCTTTATTCATGCCATGATTAAGAGTGAATATAGGGCTGGGTGCGGTGGCTCATGCCTGTAATCCTAACACTTTGAGAGGCTGCGGCGGGTGGATCACCTGAGGTCAGGAGTTTGAGACCAGCCTGACCAACGAGGTGAATATTAATTATTAAATGAATGAGTATCGTACATTATTAAAAAACACGTGAACATTCTGTGAGCTAATTCTGTATCAGACGTTATGTTAATGCAGTTTTCACATATGTTACCTCATCACATTTCAAGTTTTCTATGTGCATTTCCTTGTGAATGTGTCCAGGAACGAGCTCTTATAAATATAAAATGGTTGAGTGGGAAGCTAGTGATGAAAGAGTTTGGGCTATGGAGTCACACAACTTGAGTTTGATGATGGCCTTACCATTTTATTTATTGTGGTGTCTTCGCCCATTCCCCAAAAGTGGTTTAATTTCTTCATCTGACAAATTATAGATAAAAAAAACCTATCTTAGAAAAATCAAATGAGATAAGATATGTAAAATATTTATGGTGCCTAGCACATGGTAGTGCTCATTACAATTAACTAATATTGGTATTCATGTTTGTAATATTATTTCTACATCAAAATTTTACATCACTATGAGTGAGTTAATGCTTGGCACTTTTGTAAATAGATGATTCAAATTGATTTGAGTATTGACTGTTTGTGAATTTTAAGCTCAAATGTAGGATTTCATTCATTATTCATTAAAACAAAATTTAAAAATGCACTTACCAGTTTTAGTAATCGTTTATGTGTTATTTCAAGTCTGACCACATGAGGGCAGCATGGTACCTTTTAAGACAAAGCATAGCCTAAGTGGAGGGGAAAAAAAATCTAGTATTAAAGCTATTAAAAATCATGGGTACAAAATTAAAACTAGAAGTCTCCATAATGATCTTCTTATCCAAACTTGAATTTTACAACTGAAAGAACTGAGGTCTAAGGAGGACAATTAGCAAGTCCAATCACACAACTGATATCTTTTGAAGGTAGAGCAAAGAACCATTCAACAGCATTAATAGTAGCAATAATAATTGCATTATTGGAGCACCTAGTTACTTTAAGAGACTTTTTATTAAGCACTAATATCTTGTGTGACAATACTTTAGAGGCAATCGAATGTTTCTGATAATGAATTAGCAAGAGGAATGTTCCTTTCTGAAGAAAGAGAAAATAAACAGAATCTTATTTCTAAAAGGACTTAAGTATGTTCTTGAAGGCAGAAGACTTAACTGCGTGATTTTTCAAGGTTGTTATTAATATTTTGCTCACAACCGTGTGTTTGTGAGCTGCCTTGACAGTGCAGCACTGTCTCCAAGAAGCCGCAGCAAACAAGAGAAGGGTTCTTATTGGTTTTGGCTAGAAATCTTCTAGCTTTCTTTCACCTACTTTTTCTCGTCATTCCCACCCCAGTTCCATAGTCAAACAAATCCATACACATATAAAGCCAGAATCATGCAAACAAATCCATACTCTCCCTTGGCAACACCACAGTGGGAGTGCTTTGGAGGGAGGGATGCTTTAACTTTGCAACTACAGTTGTTCTCGTACATATCCCTTCTCAAACTTCAAATAAACAGATGATCTGGATACATAGAATATGTTTACTCTACAATGCCACTCTCTCCATTTCTCTCTACCTCCTTAATATCTTTTCATTCTTTGCAGATCTTTCCTTTCTACTGCCATCGTTATCACTCATCTGTATTATTTCATCAGCCTCAGAAATCGGACACTGTGAGTGGTAGTTTATGTGTCAACTTGACCGGGCCATCGGATGCTTAGAGAGTTGATTACACATTATTCTAGGTGTTTCTGTGAGGGTGGTTTTTGAATTCAAGATGATAGCCCTGTATGATATGGGCAGCCTCATGACCTTCCCTGAATGAGAGAGAAGTCTTCCCCTCTGACTGCCTTCTAAACTGGGACACAGGCTTTCTTCCTGCTTTCACACTCCAACTGATACATCAGTTCTTTCCGAGTCTCTAGTCTGCTGGCCTTTGGACTAGAGCTTTACCATAGACTCTCCTGGTTCTCAGGCCTTCTGACTGAGATTGGAACTAAACCATCAGCTCACCTGGGCCTCCAGCTTGCTGACCTGCCCTCGAGTTCTTCATAATTCCATGAGGTAATTCCTTTTAATCTCCCTCTATATATACATGTATATATCTTATTAGTCCTGTTTCTCTGGAGAACCTAATACAGACCATTATACTGTTTTCAATATATTTTCATTTGAAACTAGAGAGCCATTTGTACAATAATTTATGAATTAGGATTATATACTAATTCAACAAATAATGTATTAAATATAGAACCCCTACATCATGCTAAGCAGTAACCTTTAGTCCTCAATGGTCATCATTGTGTTTGGTGTTTAGCAGGCATTTAATAAATATGTGTTGAATGGGTGAATACATAAATTCCATCAGTTGTTTTGTGAAAGAATTTTTGCTTCTACTAGAGTGCCGGCGTTTTTTCTTCCATCTATATTAAGGTGATTAGTTTCTTGCAAAGAAAGTGCTAATCATTTTGTTGCTAGGAAACCACTTTGTCCAGCTGCAAAGGTATGTATATTATAGTTTTAGGACAAACGACAGAACAAGTTCCGAGTATGATTAACATAAAATAAAGAGGCTTAATATAGGTTAGTTTTCAGTCAATATGTTAGATCTTGAGATTTTTGATTAAATAAATCTATTAAAATCTGTATTGGTACTATGACTGTAAAGATTCCCATTTTTTACAGGTTATAACAATGAGAACCAAAGAGTGGTTTACTTCTGGTATGTATAGTTACTGAACGGTGGGGGAGTGATTTTTAGAAACCCAGTATTTGCTGTTTCTTCATGGGCACACTGCTCTGGAAGTCACCATCATCTATGTCAAAACTCCCTCAGGGACCCGGCCTCTGCCCACTCCCCTGAACCCCCAAGTACCATGCTCACCCTTGCTCCGTGGGTGTCAGGCAAGAGTCTTTTTTCCCCATGTCTCTTGAACACCACAGGCTCATTCACACATGACAGCCTCTTTCCTCTTTTCTGCAGAGCCTAGAAATCTCTTTTCGCAGTATCACACATTGCTGGCTTCTTCTCTTATTTTTCCTTTAGATTTCACCCAGATGTCTTCCTTGACCTCCCTATGTCAAGCGGTGCACATCTTGCGAGTCATTTTCTATCCTGTTTCCAAGTTTATATTCTTCATAAAACTTTATCCAAAAATATATTTTCTTTTCTTTTTTGAGACAGGGTCTCACTCTGTCGCCCAGGATGGAGAGCAGTGGTGTGATTAAGGCTCACTGCAGCTTCCACCTCCCTGGACTCAGGTTATCCTCCCACCTCAGCCTCCTGGGTTGCTAAGACTATAGGCATGTGCCACCACCCTCAGCTAATTTTTGTACTTGTGGATCTTGGGTTTTGCCATGTTGCCCAGGCTGGTCTCCGGCTCTTGGGCTCAAGTAATCGACCCATCTCAGCCTCCCAAAGTGCTGGGATTACAAGTGTGAGCCACTGCACCCAGCCTTTCTTTTTAATTTGGTTTGCTCTTTCTGTCGATATCACTGGCAGACAGTATCTGTAAACTATATTGTCCATGATGACTGAAGCTGTCTCTACTGCTGGCCTTTACATTTTGAGTACTCAATGCCTAATATATACTAGATGTTCAATAAGTGTTCTCTGAAATGACTGACCTTTGATTCAATGAACAAATCATATGAAAATATAATCATGAGAATAAGACTTCTTTGAGATGCTAATCTGAAAAAGATTCAAGATTAAATTAAAAAGTACAACTTTAACTAAATGTTCTTTAAATCAGATAGTGCCATTATTTAAATTTATTGGCTAAATTTTTATGGAATTTCTGTACTTTCAAATTAGAAGAGTTTTTATGTATATGTTACTGGGATTCTTTATGAATAAAATATATATATGTGTTTAATGTAAAAAGATAACTTCGAGAAGTTCGAGACCAGCCTGGCCAACATGACGAAAACCTGTCTCTACTAAATATACAAAAACTAGCTGGGCATGTTGGCAAACACCTGTAATTCCAGCTACTCTGGAGGCTGAGGTTGGAGAATCACTTGAACCCGGGAGGTGGAGGTTGTAGTGAGCCTAGATCGTGCCATCGCACTCCAGCCTGGGTGACAATAATGAAATTCCATCTCAAAAAAAAAAAGATAATTTCATAATGTCTCAAATACTTAATATCAGTTGAATAGGACTATACAAAACCCTTAAAGCTCATATTTGCCATCATTTGAGTGAGGTTACCAAGGTATCAAATATAGGGATGTATGTCATGTGAAAAGTAATTGTAAATCTTAGTGACAAAGGCTACAATAAAACATAAACTATCTTATTCTACTATATTTCATGACTTATTTGGTATTTAGGAAGCTCAACAGCTTATACTCATTTTTTTTTTTTTTTTTTTTTTTTGAGACAGAGTCTTGTTCTGTCGCCCAGGCTGGAGTGCAGTGGTGCTATCTCTGCTCACTGCAAGCTCGGCCTCCCAGGTTCACGGCGCGATCTCTGCTCACTGCAAGCTCTGCCTCCTGGGTTCATGCCGTTCTCCTGCCAGCCTTCCATGTAGCTGGGACTACAGGTGTCTGCCACCATGCCTGGCTAATTTTTTGTATTTTTAGTAGAGATGGGGTTTCACCTTGCTAGCCAGGATGGTCTTGATCTCCTGACCCCGTGATCTGCCTGCCTCGGCCTCCCAAAGTGCTGGGATTACACGCATGAGGCACCGCGCCAGGCCACTCACTCTTTGTTTTAAATAAAAATGTAGTATTTAAAATCAGATCATATATTTTTAAGTATATTGCTTAAGTAGTCTAGATTAATAACATTTTTGCTGATTTATGACTTTCCTATTTTGAGAATAAGCACTATCCTCCATAAGAAACTGGATAATTTAAAGGCAGGAAACACTCTGTAGTCATGGTTGTCAGGTTCTCGGTGCCAGATGCTTATGGTGAGAGCTTGACTATTGGGAGCACCTGACCCAGGTTAAGTGAGTAAAAATAAAGGGTTTGGTAAAAGTCAATATGTGAGGGAGAGCTGGAGCTAAACCCAGAAGAAAAGCTGCTGTTTGGTAAAACATTGCCAGAATACTAAACCAAATGAAGGCCAGGAGGGTGTGCTATGTAACTGAGTCATGGAAGCGTCCCTATCAGTGCCTGAAAGAAATAACTGAACAGTCATGGGGCTTCCCTGGCCTGGATCAGATGAGCCTGAGTCATCCTTATTAACCAGTTTAAATTTCCACATCCTGACCTCTTTTGCAATCATGATTTTCTTAGCATAGTGTTTATAAGTTATTATGAGATACTAGGTTTTATTCTCTCTCTCTTTACTTACATACATGGGGTAGATTGTATTATGAGTCCCTAATTTTCCCTTCTCTCCCCTACCTTCCATAGCTTCCCTGTGGGTGTAGTCTGTTTCCTTACCCCATTGACTTAGGGCTTGGCCAAGTGATAATTCCTTTGGCTAACGAAATAGTGACCAGAAATGATTATGTGCTTGTACCAAACTGATGCCTTGAGAGACACGTAAAGTTACCCCCAGTGCTCCTGGGATATCTGCCCTTTGCCACAAGTGGAGCCAGTCTCAGGAAATTATTGTTTTCTCAGCCTGGGTGCTGAAATGAAAACCCAAACCCATCTGAGGCCTGTGATCCACGCTAGGGCTGAAAGCCTAGGCAAGCCCAGTTGAGATAAGCCCAGTGGCAGATCCCCCACTAACATAGGAGTGTGGCAAAAGGATTGTTTTTATAACCCATGGGCATTACCTGATGTAATCTCTGGAAAAATCTAATTACAGAAGAAACCTGATTAATTCAGAAGAAACCTAATTAATTCACCAACTGATAAAGTACCATGAATAACATAGTGAATTTATTGAAGAAAAGATAAAATGATTAATAGAAAGAGTGCTTATAGGAATTAATATTGAATATTATTGACAAAAATGATATAATGACTATGCATTTATTTAAATAACCTGCTAGAGCTCTATAGGATGACTCTAAGAATTTACTGGTGACAATATCTAAAAACAACCAGGTTGGATGGGGCAACGCTGGTCTTTGAGCCACTGTATTTTTTTTTTAATGCCATAAAGCAATTCTGTGGCAAGATTCTATTTTAGGAAAGGGTAGATAAGTAAAATTTACCAGGACGCTGGTACCTGAACATTGTGATCATAGAATTTGATTTTTCCAGCGAGCTCTTTAGAATAGTACATGTCCCATGTACAAAGTTATGTATGAAACTGTTGATTCTTCTAATGTGGAAAGCCTCTCATTATTCCTCTGTATTGTAATAGATCAATCCTATGATTTTTTTTGTACTACATTCTTCTTTATTAGACTCTATCTCTTCCAAACAGGTAAAGAATTAGAGCAATATTCTTATCTTTGAAAGCATGTGTGCTGGCCGGGTGCAGTGGCTCATGCCTGTAATCCCAGCACTTCGGGAGTCTGAGGCGGGCTGATCACCTGAGGTCAGGAGTTCGAGACCAGCCTGGCCAAAATGGCATAACCCCATCTCTGCTAAAAATACAAAAATTAGCTGGGCTTGGTGGCAGGTGCCTGTAATCCCAGCTACTCAGGAGGCTAAGGCAGAAGAATCGCTAGAACCCGGGAGGCAGAGGTTGCAGTGAGTAGAGATCGTGCCACTGCATTCCAGCCTGGGTGACATAGTGGGACTCCATCTCAAAAAAAAAAGGAGCATGTGTGCCACAAATAAAGGCCATGTTGGCTGCATTTGTCTATGTTTCCAAATTGCTGGCATTTTATTCATGTGTGTTGATGCTTTTCTTTAGGTTTCCTATTTAATTTTCGATACGGTGAAGGCAGAGACTGTTGCTCTCTTTAAAGTTACCCATGGGACATGCTAGAAAGGTTTGTGGAAAGTGAGTATTAAGTCATTGTTGCTGATTGCCTCTCTTCTACACCTTGCTATTACAGACCTGGCCAAAGACTTTGTTTAAATGAATCCTGTCTTTTTTTTCCAGCTAAGCTAATAATCACCCTTCTGGAAGAGGTTAATTTTGGTCTTAAAAACAAGCAGTAAGTATGCATCACACATTGAAGGAAAGCTGTAGTTAGTAAACACATTAAAACAATGTAAACTAAAGGCCAGATTATTTTACTCCTCTGAAAATTCAGACAATCTGGAGTTTCAAAAACGTTTTTATTTCATCATCTTGATCTATATGATCATTTCACACATCAGTAAGTGATGCTTTCATTTTTTTAAAGTAGCATAACTATCCCAAACCTGGAAAATTTCAGTAACACTAAAAATAAACCAGTTAAATAAACATAGGGACATTTTCAAAGATAGTTTGGGACATAAATACTTTAAAAATCTGCCCCACCTGCAACTGTGAAGTATTGATTCTGAGGCTTTTCAAAGTTATGCACTATACAGTTCATACTGTAATATGAATTAAAGGGGCTAGGAGAATAATGGCACTAGTTTTTTTATAAGCTGATTTTTATGATATTAATATAATTTCTTAAAAAACCTTCAACTCAACTGCGTAAGTTCCTGACATTAAATGCAATTTTTTTCAACTATCAAATTACAGACCATGTATTTGTAAAATCTAAAAAGGAATAAACTTTTGTGTGTTATGGTGGGATATTTAGTTTCTGTAGTGATTGAAATTACTTTTAAGTGTCACTTTTATTCTCTGTATAGTAGATTTCCATAATATACACCTATTAGAGACACCTTTCAAGACAATGCTAACACAATTGCCAGCTTTAAAGATATTGAAAACTTAAAAAAATCATTTCTCTGTTTTAATGAGGGCAATACTGTCATATTGTAGTAAGATTTTTGTTCATATTAAATTGAAGCAACATCTGCACAGCAAGATAAATAATCAGAAGGGTAAACAGACAACCAATAGAGTGGGAGAAAATATTTGCAAATTATGCATCCGACACAGAACTAATATCCAGAATCTACAGGAAACTCAAACAAATCAGCAAGAAAAAAAAAAAAAACAAATAATTCCATCAAAAAGTGGTCAAAGGACGTGAATAAACAATTCTCAGAAGAAGATATATAAACAGCCAACAAACATATAAAAAAATGCTCAACCTTACAAATTATCAGGGAAATGCAAATTAAAACCAATGCCATACCACCTCACTCCTGCAAGAATGGTCATTATTAAAAAGTCAAAGAACAGTAGATGTTGGTATGGATGTGATGAGAAGGGAATATTTTACAGTGCTGGTGAGAATGTAAGCTAGTACAACCACTATGAAAAACTGGAGATTCCTTTTTCTTTTTTTTTTTTTTTTCTTTTCTTCGAGACAGTATCTCGCCCTGTCACCAGGCTGGAGTGCAGTGGTATGATCTCGGCTCACTGCAACCTCTGCCTCCCGGGTTCAAGTGATTCTTCTGCCTCAGCCTCTCAAGTAGCTGGGACTACAGGTGCACACCACCATGCCCAGCTAATTTTTGTATTTTTAGTAGAGATGAGGTTTCATCATGTTGGCCAGGATGGTCTCAATCTCTTGACCTCGTGATCCACCCGCCTCAGCCTCCCAAAGTGCTGGGGTTACAGGTGTGAGCCACTGTGCCCAGCTGGAGATTTCTTAAAAAGCTGAAAGTAAACTACCATTTGATCCAGCAGTCTCACTACTGAGTACCTACCCAAAGGAAAATAAGTCATAATATGAAAAACACACATGCACACACATGTTTATAGCAGCACAATTTGCAATTGCAAAGATATGGAACCAACCTAAATGCCCATCAACCAATGAGTGGATAAAGAAAATGTGGTATATATACACTGTGGAATACTAGTCAGCCATAAAAAGGAACGAAATAATGTCTTTTGTAGCAACTTGGATGGACTGGAGGCCATTATTCTAAGTGAGGTAACTCAGGATTGGAAAACCAAATATTGTATGTTCTCACTTATAAGTGGGAGCTAAGCTATGAGGATGCAAAGCGGAAGAATGATACAGTGGACTTTGGGGACTCGGCGGGAAGGGTGGGAGGGGGGTGAGGGATAAAATACTACACATTGGGTACAGTGTACATTGTTTAGGTGACAGGTGCACCAAAATCTTAGAACTTATCCATGTAACCTGTACTCCAAACACCATTGAAATTAAAATTAAAATTTTAAAAAGTTGAAGCAACAAATAATGTAACAAAATGCCTATTCAAAATGACAAAGTAAACAATAATGGCTTCTTTCTTCTATCAAGTACATTTGAGGTGATGACGGTCCTGAACCATCTCAGGGAACTAAATATTTAATAGATCACTCTCTTAACCCAATAGTTATTGGAAATTTCCAAAGGAAACTTATCAGTATAGATAATTGATAGAAAAACACACAAACAATTCCATAGAGGACAGGGAAGACTGCATCGTTAAGAGAGTAGAATTACATGCCTCACAGGCTATCGGGGTGAGGTACCTGACAGAGAATGTGTGTCTAGCCTTGCACAAGCCAAGCAAAGTGTGGATCTGCAGGGAGAAGTGGCTGGCCCTCAATGAGCTGAGTGCTGGGCATTAGTCAACTGCTGATTCAGCCACAGATGCTAATCAGAACATCCAGAGAAGAAACCGGGCTGTATACTCCCCAAGAAATATCAGATGTAGAGCCAGGATTGGCATGGACCTCAAGGACACAGGACAGACCTGAGGGTCTATTCCCTGTGCCCCCTCACAATTCCATACATGTCCTTGCACTCACACATCAAACACTGTCTAGAGAGGAACATGGTGGAGAGCTGGAGAGCAGAAATAACAGACTGAAGTCTTTCTACTGCCTTGTGTGGGAGCTGTGAAGACGAGGTTAGTTACAAAGTTGTAGTTGGAGTAAGTTTGTGACCACATCACAGAGGAAAAAGCAGAATCTGCGTACACCTAATGTTTGTGCTTCTTGCCATTTATTCAATTCTATTGTTTCTCAGGCTTTTGTTTCCCATTTGCAACTCAGCACTGATGAAAATTTTTCCCTTTACCCTAAAACTGTTAGCCTGAATTCACGCCTGAAAACTGGCAAGAGGACCTACCCTACATTGTAAAGACAACCATGAACCATTCCAACCAGACACCTGCAGAGTCAGCCCCATGAAAAGAGGAACCCCTCCAAGACTATACTAGGGGGTGCCCCAGGAGGGGAAGAAAAATTGGCCAGTCGTCTGGGAATTACAGTGTTAGTGGAGAGTATTGAGTCCCTCATCCTCATCTAAGGAAGAGGCACTCCCTTCTCAATGCTCAGGTTTACTGGCAGCAGGGAAGATTCATGAGAAGGGAATGAAAGATGGTGGGATTATCTGCAAAAAACGGAAAAAAGGGAAGCCTGGTATTCTGATTTGCATTTAGATGCCTGGTTAGGCCACACTGCTGCTTTTCTCCTTATGCCCTCCTGAACAGGGGAAAAGGCGAGATGGAGAGAGGGGAGAGGAATAAGGCAGGGGGCACCCACAACTCTGGCATGGAAAGGAAGTGTGTTTCTCATGAGTCAAGTGGAACCCTCCAGAGGGAGTTTCCACTGCATGAGGGGAAGCCAGTAGCAGTGGGCTCAGGGTGGACTATGAGGGTCTAGGGCTGGAGACTGGACTAGACCCAGGTTTCTCATCTCAGAGAACTGTGCCCCAGGAGCCCAAGGAGGGCGTCCCATGGACCACACACATGTGCTCAAGGACAGGGTCAGCACGGGGGTCTGCCTGGAAGAAGGCTGGACGGCCAGTCAGTGAGAGCTGGAGGGGCAACAATGACCCGGCCTGGGAGCCCTGCAGCTGAGTCCTGTTAAACAGTGATATCTTCCTGCTCCCCACAATCCAGCCTCCTGCTCACTATTATCCAGGGCTCAAAGCTGTCAAGGGCATGGAGGAGATAGGGAAAAAGCAAAACATGTCCCTTTTCTTCGCTCACTTCACAAGCATAGCCAGAGATGGCAGAAGGGAAAGCTTTGAATTAGATATGAGACTGGAATTTTAATATGCACAAGACTGAATTCTAATTTGTTAATTCTAAACAGAAAGATATTCAGAAAGTTCTAATATCTGCCCAAGATGACATTCAAGGATGGGAAAGGGAATTCAAGTGATATGGGCTGAGAGTAGTGACTGAAAAAATAGAAAGCCATTTCATTTTTATAGCCTCAAAAAACTGCTTTCACAATGAATGTGGAATTATGAAGTTAGATCAGAATAATGGAGACGATTTTGTAAGGAAAGCAGAAAGAATGCTGACACTTATTGTACAGACATTAATAGGTAAGTAATTTGCAAGGGGTCTATGACTATTACCTCATTTAATTCCTACAGTGAACAGTGTATTACTCTCCTCAATTTAACTGAAGCCGAGAGAAATTAAAACTTGCTCAGGGACACAAAGCTAATGAATGATAAATCTGATATTAAATATAGGTAAATACAGTGTCAAAGGCAGTACTTATTCCACTTGTACTCTACTGCCACCAACTGTGGTGGACTGTGAGACATTTTTCATACTAAAACTTCCATTGTGTCTGCTTTAATTATGTCTAATCTAGTATGAAAAGACACTTTATGGTAATAGTATACTTTAGTTGAACCTGTCAATGGTATATGATGATTCTTTGTCAGTTCAAATACTAATTCCCTATTTTAAAACAAAAAGGTACAGTTTTGCCTTTACTGTGAGTTTCCTTTGTTTGGGTGGTGTACTTTGGTGCCATGGAGATGATATTCGCAGACAGATGTTAATGCGTCATTATAAACACTGCCTGTTCTTGCTCTCTCATGAAAATGAAGAGTTCTGTTAGTATTTCATGGAACATCGCCACCTGGATTTGACTCAAACCTTCTCTTTTGACACGTTTTCACTCTGAATGACTAGTTTCCTTTTTGTTTGCTTCTAGTTCAGATTTCGGAGGTCATATTTCAATGTCCATTGTGAAAAGTGAATGGTGGGAGAAGGAGGAGGCAGAATGTAGGTTGGGCAGAGAAGATGGCCTTTTAAAAATGTTTTTATGCTGGAGACTTTTAATAGAACAATTCTGACAGCAAGCATTGAGTGAGTGGTTTATTCAGATATTCCCATCTGAAGAATTCCATGATCCTAAAAACACAGATCAATTTTTCTGATATTTATCTACTCCCTTAGCTTCCCCAAATTTGATAATTGCCCAATTTTGAGAGTGAATATTTGACTCTGTGCTCAATATCTGATTAAGTCTTACTAGTGCATTTGTGTTGAACCTAAGTCTCAAATGCCTCTTCTACATTCCGTATTTTATTACCCTTCTGTTTGGAACCAATCAAGGACATTTTCTCTTACACTACAGATATTCAGTAGTTTTATATCTTAAGAACTCATATGCTCTTAGTCATAACATTTATATTCATTTGGACCTTTTTTTTTTATTTGACCTGGGATTCATTCCAAGCAGTAAATAGCTGGTCTTATAGCCGTAGTCTCTCATCAACACCCAGAAAGGCATCTCTGAGTTGAAGAGGAAAAAAATGAATAAAACAAAAGAGGGGGTCAATATAGACTTTATTAATAATGTATTAGAAATCAAGAGGTTGAATTAACTCACATCTGTACTTCAGACCAATTAAAGGGGGGAAAGAAATGTAAATAAAGTCTGTAATTATACCCGGAAGTTTTAAGGTAAAACTTTAGAAGGCATACTTCTAACATTCCATACAAGTCTTACATTTTGATTCTGTGTTCACAGTTAGACTCTAACTGGAGGCCTGATGAATGGATTTATGGAGGCAGGAGACCAGCTTAAAATATATATATATAATATATACACACACACATAATATATATTTAATATATAATATTAAATATAATATATACAATATATTGAATATAATAATATATAATACAATGTATATTATATAAAGAAATATAAATAAATATATATATATTTATGAGACAGGGTTTCACTCTTTCACCCAGATGGGATTGCAGTGGCACGATCTCGGCTCACTGCAACCTCCACCTCCCAGGCTCAAACGATCCTCCTGCCTCATCCTTCTGAGTGGCTGGGATTACAGGTATGTGCCACTACCACAGGGCTAATTTTTTTTTGTATTTTTAATAGAGATGAGGTTTCACTATGTTGGCCAGGCTGATCTCAAACTCCTGACCTCAAATGATTCACCTGCCTCGGCCTCTTGAACGACCAGTATTACAGGCTTAAGCCACCGAACCTGGCTGAGATCAGCTTAATCTTATCTGTCCTTGTTGGTTTTGTGGCTGTCCTTCTTATTATAAGCATCGGTACTTCTATCTTTCTTTTCCATTCTATCTTTACGATGGTATAGGAACAAATGCTTTATAAAACCCAATGAACAAGAAAATCATCCAAATAATGACGCAGACTCTGCTTTATTGACAAAGAAGGTGACGTTCCGAAAGGAAGTCATTGGTCAGAAGACCATGCAAAATGAGTTTGCTCAAAATATTGAATGCCACGTATTGTATGAATGTCTGAATTTGACAGATGGGAGGTGACTTAGAGTTGTCAATACATAATATATACAAGTATAGTTTGTATGAAAGTTGAACTTCAGAAAATTTTAGTCTAAATTTTACATTTGCATTTTACCACATTAAGTCTAGATTTGGTGGTATGTGTAGAGGAAAAAAAGTTACAAATATCCCACCTAGATTATCTTGAATGCCTCTGCTGTCAACTTTAAGGGCGACTTGTGGTGCTATTCCTGACCTAATATCTGCAGAAGGCTGCAGGCTATGGCCATCGTGGGCTGGTGTGTATTAAAAGAAGCTGGAGATCGTGAATTGGTTAATGCATAGTTGGTTGGATGAAACTGCTTAAAAGCAGCTATTTAAATTCACATCACCAGTCAAGTGACAATGTGAAAGGGGTGATTGTATTATCTTTAGCACTTGTTTACTCTTTTTGAGGTGAAAGGACAGGAGCAAACGCCTGGATTCACTTTTGAAAACGATGGTAGCTATCAAGTTCTCTGAGTATTCCTATAAGCCCTCCCTTCCAAGCAGTATGTCCTTCCTACTGAGTGGTTATTTGAAAAGCTCAGTGAGGAAAAGCTCTTTGAACTGTATTTTTTCTTTTCAGCTGAATGAGAACATCTGAAAGTCCATCTCCCATTTTCTTTCATTGACACTAACTCACTTTGACAGTCTGTACCCAATAGAACTATATATCACAATGTGAACTAGAGTTGGCCAGACATTTCAATGCTTACCAGCCCTGAACTCACAAGGCCATTTTTAGCTTCTAGTTTGTTTGTAGACTGCTGTTCAAGGTAAGCTCCTATGTAAAGTGACTGCCTTTGTTCTTCATGAAATTCAGTTTTATTTCTTAGGCAATATAATTTTTTGTTTTTTATTACATTGCAAAACACTTTAGGACTCCAAGAAAGTAATTTTGCCTTATTTTCCATTCACTATTTGTCCATTTGTAAGTTTATGACAAAACCAGATGTCCATCACAGCAATGAGAATCAGATACTTGATGAATACATATAAATTATGCACATAAAACTAGGTGCAGTTTTGTCCATGAAGTACATGTTCACTTGAGGCTTCAAAGAGTTCTGCTTTATATTCATTTAAATGAATGGTATAATTTTTGCATGATTTTTCTTGATACTTTTGAAATTGTTCCAAACTTGAATCCATTACTATTAGATACTGTTTATACCATGATAATATAAAAGTTAGAATTTTGATTATATATGTGTTACTTCATCTATTGCTAGAGGAAATAATTTCATGGCTTCATAACTTGGTGGAAGAAATTACATTTGAAACATGCAGCTTCTATTCCTGTTTTGTCCTGTTCCTAATTACATTATGACACTCTATGTGTTCCCAATTTGAACAAATAGCTGTAACCTGATGAAGCCATCTCTGTCTCTATTTTTCAGTGCCTAACATTTGGGTATTTATTGAATGCTTTGACTGACTAAAGCATGGGGACTTTGTTATAACATGAGCTTTTAGTCTAAGCAATTGTTTCTAAGCAAAGCCCTTAAATGTATTCTTTAAAATACTTCATTTTATCTTAATGGACGAGACACTGTTTGAGGATAAATAATTCTTGCTTTTGAGCATTTTATCTTCTAGTGAGGAATAAGCATGTATACACTCCAACATAATCTGTGCAGCACTGTGTTATCAAGAGGTAAGAGAGTGTGGGAGGGCGCAGGGGAGGGAGAGATTGTCATAAGACTCTTCTAATTGAAGAGAGTGTAACATATCCAAAAGATAGTTAAGAACTTG
The DNA here is from genome assembly GCF_000001405.40 of Homo sapiens. Lineage (NCBI taxonomy): Eukaryota > Metazoa > Chordata > Mammalia > Primates > Hominidae > Homo > Homo sapiens. The sequence goes on from NW_003315914.1 coordinate 141,471, forward strand.
ACACACAGAAATGAGGTTGAGGAAGGAAGTGGGTGGGGCACCACAAACATCGCAATGGCTTGGAATAAAATTCAAACTCCTTTCTTTAGCATCCAAGGCCCAGATCAGTGATTTTCCTCTTTGGCTGAAGGTCAGAATCCAACTCATGAACTCCAAAATCTGACGCTTAAACTTCATCCCCAGAGATTCTGATTTATTTCAAACCAAGGTAACCCTTAGCATAGAACCAGAGCTGACACTTACTGATCAGAGTGATCTGGCCCTGGCCTGCCTTTCAGGCCTTACTTCCTATCACATTCTTCTGTGTTCATTTAGCTCCTGCCATCCGCTGACCCCACTCCCTCCAGCCCAGCAGCTTCTATTCCTCTAAAGCACAGCTTTACTAAGGATGACTCGTTGCTCCTGGACTATTATTTCTGAGATAATAATAACAGCTGATATTTGCTGAGGACACACAATGTCCCCAGGACCCAGACAGCACATACACTGTAAAATGTATTAACTCATTTAATCCTCCCCACAAATTGATGAGTCGTCTTTATTTTCTGGTGGAAGAGCCTGACGTACAGAGCTGTGATGTCACGCCCAAGTGGTTGCAGAGCTGGGATTGGAAGTGATAAGGCTGGTGCTCAGAGCCCTGAAGCCCAACACTCAAGCTACCATTTTCATTTTTTCTCTTCATATCATTTAAGCCTTGATCCAAAGGTTACCTTCTCAGAGCATTGCTTGACTAACCTCACTCCCATTTCTCTAATGCTTTACTCTGCAATTGCAATCAGTGTTCATTTATATATTTACTTAATTTTTTTTCTAATACAATGTAAACTCCACAAAGGCTGACTATATCTGCTTGTTCACCATTGTATTTCTAGTACCATAAAAATGGCACATAGAAGGTTTTCAACCAATATGTATTAAAGGAAAGAATGAATTTCTGGTGTAACAAGTATTCAAGGGAGAATACAATTGCTTCAGGCACTACTCTTTCCTGGTATTTGTCTGGCATAATGATTTCATGATTTGAAATTCCAAAGAAAGGGCAGCTAAGGGGTGTTTGATTTCATATACTCAGCCCACATTTCAATATTCCCTGAACCTAAGCATTACAGTGGATGCCTATAGGCAACATCTTTGCTTGTTAAGCAAGCATCCATTGTGCCCTGTTTTCTTGCTGGCAGAGCATTAATATTGCCCTGGTTTTTCTTCTCCAGGAGGCTTCGGTAGTGACTGGTGAGAGCGTGAGCCCATCACAGTGGGTCTGTCCCCTTTGCTGATCATTCAGGTTGGGCAAGTGTCACAGTCCTGGCAATTGAGACCTGAGTGAAGTTCTGCAGGGGATCCTCTGGTAAAGATCTTTTTGCTCTTAAAAATGTAGACAAGAGAGTGAGCCCCTCCACCCTTATACACCAACATGGTCAGGTATGAAAGGAATCCCTGCAGCTGCAGTTACATCTTGAGACAATGAGGTTAGATGGCCTAATAGTGAAGAATACTGGATTTGGAGTCAAAATCTGGCTTCAAATTCCAACGCCGCCCCTTCCTAGCTACATGGTCTTGTGTTAGTTGGCTAATCTCTCTGTGCCTCATTTACCCTTTCTGTAAAATGTGTAATATTAGTGCTTATTTCAGAGAATATTTGAGGATACATGAGTTAATATGTATTTAAAGTTCCTTCATTTGTAAAAATAAAAATAAGGGGTCAACTTCATAGGACTATTGTGAAGAATACATGAATTAAAACATATCTGAGGTACTTAAACTAAGGCTGGCACATAGATAGTGTTAATAATTATTAGCTAAAAACAAAACAAAATAGTGGGAGGACAGAGCCAAGACAATCTCATGAAAGCGGAACTGAACCTTGATTGTACTGAACTTGGGACCATTCCTTTATATCAGATTTTAAAAATTTATACTGTCATCATTTAAACCATTAAAATCAGAGTTTTCTGTGTGTCCTCCAGTGAAAGTCTATTTTATTTATTTATTTATTTTTAGACAGAGTCTTGCTCTGTTGCTCAGGCTGGAGTACAGTGGCACAATCATAGCTCACTACAGCCTAGAACTCCTGAGCTCAGGCAATCCCCTTGTCTTGGCCTCCCCAGGAGCTGGGATTACAAGGAGCTACCACGCCCAGCCGTGAAAGTCATCTTAACTGACATATTGCACATAAATGTGGAAGTGGTGGAACCAGTGTTCATCATATATGAGACCACTGGGGCCACAAGCTTCTTTCTGCATGATAATTCAGTTTGGAGCCTGCAGGAGAATGGAGTAAAACCTCTTAATCATACTGAACACTCTGCTTTCACAAGAATGGATATTAGTATTTTAATTCAATCCCCAACAGTTAAATGTTCTCAATTTTAATGACCAATATAGCCAACAACAATTATAGGGCACAGCTCTGCAAGGAGACACTGTTAATGCCCTAGAATCATGCAGGGCTTTAAGAATCTTTATCTCAGGCTAAAGCAACAGGGAAAGCTTTATATTTTGTTTCCTTCCAAATCTAGCTCCCATGACGAAAATCTTCAAGTCCAGAACATGCAGTGTTTAATTATCTAACAACTACTGAATCTCATTTGAGCAAAAACAATTTGATCGATGGGTCCAGCTGTGACCATTGTGTAGCGTGAATTTTCTGATCACTTTAAAATGTTGGCTATGCAGCTGTCATCTGGAACTTTAGAATGCACTAGCATTAAAATGCCACAGCTATTTTACAGACCCGTCTGTATCCATGAGAGAGATGACATTCTTCAGGGGATCTTCAGTATACAATTTGTTACATATTCTAGAGATGCTGTAATCAGTGTTAATGTTTTCATTTCTCTTAAATTCCTGTATTAGTGTTTCTGAGCAATTTAGAATGGGGTTACCTCAGGATAGCTTTTGCCTAGTAAAGGACTATTTGTTGAAGTTCTGTTTTGCTTCTCCCTACACAATGCTGCTTAACATGACTGAGACTGTGGAATGGGATTCTTGTTTTTTATATTCTCACAATTCATACTAATGATTAGGGAGACTATGGGAGGAAGGGTCAGTACAGAATCTTTCTCACCACAGCTGTCAGTTGGCAGGAGGACAAAGGGCAAGCCAGAAGGAGTAAGACTGCTTCTCTTTGAGTCAGGGAAGCATGGAGATGATGCAGTAGCTGGCTCCAGGTTTGTATTTGAGTCATCTCTGATACTTAGGGTACATTAGTTAGTTTTATCCCCATCTTCCATAGAAACTATCTGCACTTCCCTTGCAGAAGTACAGGGGTAGGATTAGAGATAGTAATTTCTACAGCAACTTAAGTGAGAAGAAGGATCTGGAGTTTCCAAATGGCCAAGGAATGCAAGACAACTTTTTAATATAAAATGATTTTAAATGATGTCTATATCTTCCTTTTCTGTGCTGCAGTGACATGCCTATTCCCAAGTCTGCACAAATAAAAGCAATCTAAATGTAAAGAGCATATATTGATATCCAATCCTGAACAAATGGATCATTTATTTGCTTTCAAAGTGACCTTTCCCATTTTCAAACCAAAGGAGAGAAAAATTATCATTTAGCTGGAAGTGTCTGTTTGACATTATAGGAGGGTGAAGAAATTTTTTTCGGGCTACTTCTCTATGGTATCTATAAACATTAATAGTGTGGTCCACTATATAGAAGTGTAGCTCTCTCTCTCTCTCTCTCTTTTTCTCTTTAATCATATTGCTGCTGTAAACCCAGAAGAAATCTGTAGCTAATGATATGGTTTGGCTCTATGTCCTCACCCAAATCTCATCTCAAATTGTAATTCCCATGTGTCAGGGGAGGGTCCTGGTGGGAGGCGATTGGATCATGGGGGCGGTTTCCCCATGCTGTTCTTGTAACAGTGAGGGAGTCTTCAGGAGAGCTAATGGTTTTAAGTGTGGCACTTCCCTGTGTGTCTGGAGTTGGTTCCTTCTGGTGGGTTTGTGGTCTTGCTGACTGCAAGAATGAAGCCGTGGACCTTTGTGGTGAGTGTTATAGTTCTTAAAGATGGCATGGACCCAAAGAGTGAGTGGTAGCAAGGTTTATTGTGAAGAGTGAAAGAACAAAGTTCCCACAGCTTGGAAGGGGACCCGAGCAGGTTGCCACTGCTGGCTGGAGTGGCCAGCTTTTATTCCCTTATTTGTCCCCTCCCATGTTCCGTTTTTGTCCTATCAGAGTGCCCTTTTTTCAATCCTCCCTGTGATTGGCTACTTTTAGGATCTGGCTGATTGGTGTGTTTTACAGAGCGCTGATTGGTGCATTTTACAGTCCTCTTGCTAGCTACAGAGCGCTGATTGGTGCCTTTTTACAGAGCGCTGATTGGTGCATCTTACAATCCTCTTGCTGGACAGAAAAGTTCTCCAAGTCCCTACTCAACCCAGGAAGTCCAGCTGGCTTCACCTTTCATTCTTTCTTTCACTGTCTGTCCTGCCACCATATAACTTGTGCCTTGCTTCCCTCTGCCTTCCACTATGAAAGTTTTCTGGCCGTGTGCAGTGACTCACGCCTGTAATCCTAGCACTTTGGGAGGCAGAGGCAGGCGGATCACCTGATGTCAGGAGTTCAAGATGAGCCTGGCCAACATGGTGAAACCCCATCTCTACTAAAAATGCAAAAAATTAGCCAGACGTATTGGTGTACGTCTGTAGTCCCAGCTCCTCGGGGAGGCTGAGGCAAGACAATTGCCTGAACCCCGGAGGCAGAGGTTTCAGTGAGCCGAGATTGCACCACTGCACTCCAGCCTAGGCGACAGAAACATGCCGAACTGAGTCAATTAAACATCTTTTCTTCATAAATTACCCAGTCTCAGGTAGTATTTTTATAGCAGTGTGAGAACAGACTAATACAGCCAGTTAGGAATGTTAACGTGGGAACAGTTTGTGACCTTGACCATCATAGGCACTCAGCAAATGCTAGCTGATGTGTTCAGTAATACTGAGAAAGAGAATAATTAATTGTAGAGATATGTGGAAAGCTTGATACCACATATTTTAGTGAGCATTCAGACCCTTTTTTTTTTTTTCGACAGAGTCTCGTTCTATCACCAGACTGGAGTGCAGTGGCATGATCTCGGCTCACTGCAACCTCCGCCTCTCATGCTCAAGCAATTCTCCTGCCTCAGCCTCCTGAGTAGCTGGGATTACAGGCACTCACCACCACACCCAGCTAATTTTAGTAGAGACAGGGTTTCATCATGTTGGCCAGGATGGTCTCGATCCCCTGACCTTGTGATCCAATCGCCTTGGCCTCCCAAAATGCTGGGATTATAAATGTGAGCCACCATGCCTGGCCCAGACTTTTTTGTTAGGAAACCATTCCATGTGAAGTAGAAAATCTTCTACAGTTGTCAGGGTTATTTATCCACATAAAATATTTTGACCTTTGTTTTCTTTTAGCGAAACTGAATTTTCCAAGTTTGACCTCCTCTGATCAATTGTATCTTCATCTCTTGTAGGTGACATCAGCCACTAAGGATTTTAGTTCTTTTTATGTAGAGACATATTTTCTTGTTTTTACTATTTTTCAGGTCTAATGGTAAAAGGTTTAAACTTGTTTATGTTTTCCATTGAAAATTACTAGGAAAGCAATCCTATTGCAATGCAGCTGGTGCTGATCTCATGAGAAGTTCTGGTCAAAGAGAAGGAATGAAATGGTATAGCTGTAAAGAAAACAATCAAATGGGCATGTAGTTAAGTTTGGCTGGTATCTCCAAGTTTGGGATCATAGTGATTATTGCAGGAAGAGATCAATAAAACATATTTCAAAAATTGTTTTTGTTGCTTTTCCTTTTTATTTCAGGATATATGATTAGAGGATGGGAGGAGGTCACAAAGCTTGTAGAAAACTGCATAGTTAGAAGTATTCCTAGAGCATTTCCTCTTTTTATAAAAATGCATAATATGGTTAACAATTACAATGTTAATTCCAATTTTTCTTAGTAAACTAAAAGAAAAATCACATAGAATGTATTTTTTTAAGCAAAAGAGCATTTATCTGCTTCAATCTCAAAGTGGTTTGTATTTAACATACGGAAATTTTTGTTTTTATATTTGTTACCTAGAAGACTGTGCGGTTTTTGTGTCCTTTGCCTTGGAAAAATTTTTTATAATTTCTATGATACAGAAAACTTTTCTATATATTTAAGTGGTCAGTTGTATTATATTTATTCACACCTGCTTATAAAATCTTTTAAAATGTCCGTATACTGTATAAAAATCTGTCTTTCCCCTTCCAGTTGGTCAGGTACAGAAAAAAAAAGAAATTTAAAATATAAAGAGGTTTAGGCATCAAAGATAGACTAAGAGATGTAATATTTATCTAGCAGAAGTTCCACAAGAAAAGACAATGGAAAGAGGATAAACTAAATTAAAAGGAATAATACGTGATTTTTCCAGACTGATAAATAAACAGTTCCTCAGATAGAGATAGAAGAAACATGAGTCTTGAACAATAAATAGAAAAACTGCAGAAAAACCAAGATGAAGGTAAAAATATTAAAAGAAGCATTGATGAACCATAAATTATAAGCAATGATTCACAAGAATTATAATTTGTCTGAAGCAAATTTTACATTAGCAAAAACTGATTGTAGAAAAAAAAACCTTGACAATACTGAGAGAAAATGGCTATCAACACAAAGTATCATTTAATAATGAGGCTAAAATAAAGATATTTAACACAATGGTGGATTCTTATCACTCATAGAATTTATCTTAAAGAACCATTAGATGATGACATTTATTAAGAAAAAACTCATCCCAGAAAAGAGCTACGGTTTTTTTTTTTTTAGTTGAAGTCTTGCTCTGTTGTCAGGCTGGAGTGCAGTGGCCTGATCTCAGCTCACTGCAACCTCTGCCTCCCGGGTTCAAGCAATTCTCCTGCCTCAGCCTCCCATGTAGCTGGGATTATAGGCGCATGCCACGACACCGAGCTAATTTTTGTATTTTTAGTAGAGATGGGGTTTCACCATGTTGGCCAGGATGGTCTCAATCTCTTGACCTCGTGATCCTCCAGTCTTGGCCTCCCAAAGTGCTGGGATTACAGGCGTGAACCAGTGTGCCTGTCCTATAGTTTTTTTTTTTAAGAAGATATATTTACATAAATATTTGTGTAAAATATAATAATTTAACAGTGATAAAGACACATATGGAATTTTGAGTACATAGGGAAACTAATATACTAGGCAAAAATTACAAAGATATGTGGGTCAAAGCATTCTAAAACCCTTTTGTTGTTTAAGAGTAAAACAGAAATATTATCATACACCTTTAGGAAGTCAAGTATGCACATTAAAATTTTAAGGGTAACAAATAAAAGAATAGGATCTTATATAAAGTTAGAGTGAAGGTGAGTGACCTGAAAGGAAAATCTAATGATATTGTTTAGAATGCACTAAAAAATAAGCATATGTAAAAATTAAAGAGATTTTAAGATACAGAGATTTAGAAAGTTTAAGAAATCGCTAATTGAAGTTCCAGAGGAATAGAACAATAAAAAGAGAAAATATTTGAAAACATACTGAGACTATTCTAGAGTTGATAAGAGATTATAATTTGCAAATTCAAGAAGTCAAATAATTAAAAGCATAGCTACATTGTGTAAGGCTATATTATTATTCCCAAATACTTGCTACTCCTTCCTGCAGAGGAAAATATCTGTTCACCCAGTGGATATTGGGTGTGGTAACGTAACTTGCATTAGTTAATGAAATAAAAGCAGAAGCAGCACATGTCTCTTCTGATTAGAGGCTTAGGAGCTAGCATGTTTTGCCATTCTTTCTTTTTCTTTTGCCGTAATTACTGGAAATGCCCTAAATTAAGGCTCTTCTGTCAGCCTAGATGTCACATTAATGGAACATGGTGCAAAGCCATGGGTAACTTGTAATCGATGTGTGGCATAGAGGAGACATTAACATTTGTTGCTCTATTTATTGATATATATTTGAGAGGTTTGTTGTTAACACTTTTAAACTAGACAGCAGTTCTCAATAGACAGAGATTTTGCCTCTCAAGGAACATGTCAATGTCTGGAGACATTTTTGGTTAGCACAGCTAGACGTTGTGGTGCTACTGACATCTAGAGGACAGTGGCCAGGAGCGCTACTAAACATCCTACAAGATACAGGACAGCCCCCACAACAAGACTTTTTCAGCCCATAAGATGTCATCGGTGCCAAGGCTGGCAACCTCTGATCTAGCCTATCCTAACGATTTTATATACCCAGACACATTATAGTGAAACTGCAGGTCACCAAAGACACAGTGTTGTTAAAAGCAACCACAGCAAATGGACTGATTATAATAAAAATACTATAAAAAGCAAGATAGGCTTCTTTAAGTTCCACATTATAAGCTTTTCAACCCAAGGACCAAAGTTGGACTCACACTTAGATAGGAAATTTTCGGTGAAATGAACATACATATATCAAAACATAAAAGAGAGAAATTTGCAAATTCATGTGTCCACATTATTCCCGAGCCAGACTCTGGCTACTGTGTTGATTGGTGTTGAAAATTAATGACTTTGTTGTATTCCGTGATAATGTGCAGTCATAAGATAAAGCATTTTAAGGTATTTTCCATTATGTGACCCATCAATGAAAAATTCATTATTTAAAATCCCTGGGAAAATTAATAGATATACCAATTACATGCACAACAAATGGAAATATAAAAATAACCTTTATAATTCATTCACTATGAATTATTATGTACTTTGGCCAAAGGTGACCAATAGCCACATAGAGTCAAGGTTTAAATTTATAATTATGATTTTTTTTTAATGTTGATATCAGGGATTATAGAGAAAAGATAGCAAACAAATTAAAGTTATGAAGAGAATACAAAGCATGCAATCCTGACAGCATACAAATTGGTTTCACAGAGCATTTTGGTCTAGATGTTAATGAGAATTTGTTGGACTAGTTTCATCTGTGATTTTAATAGTCTTCATATATTTATTTTACTCCACGTATTTTCTCACAGCACAGGTGTTGCATGTAGGACAAGTTGACACAATTAATAGTTACTTTTCTCAGACTGACAGTTTAAATATATCTTGTGATCGATAATAACTGGACATATTACTTATTTTCCAGATGTCTTCATGCAGTATAAGAAAACGAGCAAATAAATAAAATGGTTTTTTCCTCAACAACTTGAAAAAAATTAAAGTAGAAAAAACTTTATTTTAATTTCATTTTGTCTGTATTTGAACCTAACAATCACTTTCTGAAATACTTCTCTCCCTTTTTTTTTTCAGAGACAGGGTCTCACTCTGTTGCTGAGGCTGTAGTGAAGTGGCAGAATCATAGCTCTCTGCAACCTTGCACTCCTGGGCTCAAGCAATCCTGATACCTCAGCCTCTCGAGTAGCTGGGACTATAGGAATACGCCACTGTACCTGGCACTCCATATTTTTCTAAATGTTTGTTTCAGATGATGTTCTACCCATAACGTACTCACTCAGTACCACAAATTACTATTTGATATTTTGTTTTCACATTAAAATTGTCTTTATGAAAAACAAATAGAACTGAATTTTGTCAAGTCTTAAAAGTGATCTCTAGAATGCCTCTGTATTCCATTTGCAAATATGTACTACCAAGACTTTATTTTGAGAATTGTACTATGAAAGCCTTTACATGCGGTTGTCAAAGCGGTAAATGAAATAGGATGTGCAGAAAAAGAAAACATAATAATAGTAATAATAATAATAACAACAGCTCAAAGAGAGGTCTGGTCTTCGTTTTTAGTTACTTGGAAGTAACTTCTAAACACTTGGAATTTTGAGAGTGATTGGAATGTCTTTGTTATTCATGGTAATCCCCTCGTACCACATCTGATAATTAATGCCAATGAGATGACTCAGAAAGGAGCAAGCCATGCCAGAAAGACAAAACGTATGATTGTAGTTTTGTCTAGTTTTGGAGTTTGGGGCCAAGTGATATCAGCCTCACCTCCCAGGATTGGGGTGCTAGAGATCAAGCTCAACTGTGTGGATGCTGATTCCATTAATCCTGACTATGTAATGAAACCCCAATAAAATCACTAGCCCCTAGAGACTCTGATGAGCTTTCTGGGTTGCCAATACTCTGGTCATATTGTCACACATCTATCTATTTGTAGAGCTTAATGCACGCCTGATGCAAAGAGAGATTCAAGTTTTGGGATCCTCCCAGTTTCCATCCTACGCATTTTTTTCTTTAGATGGTTCTAATTTGTATCCTTTGCTATAATAAAACTGTAATTGTAAATACAGCACTTCCTGAGTTCTATGACTTGTTTTAGTGAACTGTTAAACCTGAGGGTGGTTGTGGGAATCCCCAAATGTGTAGCCAGCTGGTCTGAAGTGAGGGTGGCTCTGGAAACTCCCAAACTGTCAGTTAGTGTCTGAACTGAAGGTGATATTGTGGGGACAGTTCTCTTAAACCTCACAGTTGGACAGTCTCATTGAGTTGGCGTCTTAGACAAATTTGACAGTTGGAGAACTGTGCCTTTAACCTTGAGTTATGCTAACTCTGGATAGAAAATGAAGTCTTAGATTTTTTAGTAGTTTGCTCCAAATCTTCTAATATCTGGAGAATTTGAGATCTGAATTTGAGACCCTGCAGGGTGATCTGATTCCAGGATCCATCCAAGAACTTTAAGCTGTTTTAGAAAACTGCAGAATAAAAAGATAGTTTGGATTCCCCCTGAAGACCTTGAGACAAAGATATAAGTGAAAATAGTGGTTTTGGGAGGTGCAATAAATAACAGTTGGAGGATGGAGAATTGAGCCAGAAAGAAAAGGCAGCCAGTGTTATGTGTTATCCAGACAACTATCATTGCAGGTGATTGGAGCTTACTCCATCTGGGGAACTGTGAGTAAGGGTAAAACACGTGCCATCTGGGTGTGAGAGAGCTGTGACATTGACATTCCAATGTAGTCTGTGGTTGAGGACAAAGATTCAGGGAAAAGGGTGAATTTTATTTCCCTGGCACTTCTAGACGACACAATGCACAGACAGAGTGCTTGCCAAACGTTTGGGAGAAAGCTGTTTAACAAGCATATGCAGTTATTAGCAGATGGAAATCTAGGCTTTTGGGGATTGGGCACACTGAAATAGCAAGGCCTGAGGGATATGAGCATGCACAGACAGCTCTGACAGCAATAATAGCAAATACAATAGCACTGTCTTGGAAAGTGAGGGGTTAGAATAACAAACTACACCAGACTGAAGCCTCTGCTGTCAAACCTGAAAGAGAGGTGAGGCGTATGGCTAGACAATGCATTGGAATCTTCAGCCACATCAAACATTAGAAGTCCACAGGAATTAATAAGGTTATCTGCTGTTCAAGTATTTCTCCCTTCAAGGGTGAAGGGTTTGTTCCCTAAGCAGATAGGAGTGCAACCTAAAGATGCCCGCGAGGCATCAGTCTCCACATATGCTTCAGTTGAAGAACACTGTGTTGTCCTGGGTCTTAAGTACTTCAGGGACATTCTGCATTCCATGACTGATCTACACATGGATTCTTTGAAAATCCTTCTTAGTCCTAAAGCTCCATATAAGGTCAACTGTGGCTTTTGTTTGGTCTGCATTTCAGCTCAACTTCTCTGCCTAATCTGGCTTCTTTTTCCCCTCTTCTACAGGTGCCAATTTCAGGAACACTCCTCTAGTAAACATCCTGAACAATTATCAGCTTCCCATAAAACCCAACTTGAAGCAATCAGAATACTTTAGCACTTCTTATAATGCTAAGTTGAGATGGTACCATTTCCTAAATATGAAGAAAAAGTAAACATGATTCCTGTAAATGTCTTACAATTTTCTGATTCTGAAATATTATGTAAGATGTTATTCTTATATAAACTCAGTAGCTCCTTATGAAAGTTAATTAGCCAAGATCCCATAGGTCAAAACACATGACTAGTGTTTAGTCAGTCAATAGTGTTGGGGCTCAGAAAATGATACCTTAAGGTATGTTGCTTTGGCATTCTGAGTGCTTTGAATTAAAGGAAATTGGAAGGTCTTAGAAGCTGCCTCACAATCAAGGTCTCTCTGACTTTCCCTTGTTTCTCCTCCACAAGTGTGGGAGGGGCTTTCTCTGAAGTTCTATTATCTGACGCAGGGAAGTTCTTCCAAAAGGAATGCAATTGTCTGGAACCCCTCCCTAAGAATCTCATCCAAAACCCAGGGAATATTAATCACAGAGAGGAGATTAAAAGTCATCCCTGCACCCGGACTGGCTATCACTTATTCCCCGGGAGGCTGCCCTCAAACAAGTTTTATCACCTGAGAGTCTTTATTTGCATAGTAAGACAACCAGTGTTCCCCTGCAGTGCCTCCCCTCTTCCTCTCACAACTTGTTGCCACCTCCCTCCAAAGCTCAAGCCGCTATTCCTTTATGCTTAGAAACTTCAATCCTCTGGTCCTTTGAGTCTCGTATTCTTCTGTGAGGTTCCTGTGTGCATGCATGTAACTAACATGTTTTTTCTCCTGCTAATCTGTTTATTGCTATTTTATTTCAGCAGACCTCATTATTCCTTCAGAGGGAAAGTTTAAACTTCCCTACACTAGAAGACAGAAAATCCTGTTTTGCAAATTAAAAACAATTTTAATTATGAAAATGATAAGCTTAAAGCCATTTTTAAGATATTTTTATAAACCTAATTTTATTTATGATATATACATGTTTTATTCTAAATAAAAATGGATTAAATATTAATAAATGATCAGAGTGTTTCATAATTCAGGAGGCTTTGTTCAAAAGTCACATCATTATCTATGGCTATGTGAATTTTACCACCTTTTAAATGCAGTTTTAAAGAAGATACTTAGCTTCTTTTTCTTTGGTCAATTTTATCCCTAGTAACAAATGGTTAATTCCTTTTTTTGTTGTTGTTTTTTTTTTTTGAGACAGGGTCTTCCTCTATTGCCCAGGCTGGAGTGCAGTGGCCTGATCTCGGCTCACTGCAACCTCCTTCTCCCGGATTCAAGCGGTTCTCCTGCCTCAGCCTCCTGAGTAGCTGAGATTACAGGTGCCCACCACCAAGCCTGGCTAATTTTTGTGTTTTTAGTAGAGACGGTTTCGTCATGTTGGCCAGGTGGCTCTCAAACTCCTCACTTCAGGTGATCTGCCTGCCTGGGCCTGCCAAAATGCTGGAATTACAGGTGCAAGCCACTGCGCCTGGCCGACAATTAAAAATTTTAATCACCAAATAATCATGAACTAAGTTCTTCATTAATTCAGCTCTTATTATAGAAAGATATAAAACAAATTTTCAGAGCTTGTGTTGAGCACCAGAATTCCCAAGTCAGAGGCTGTCAGCTAGGAGCAAGATGCTTCCTAGTGTAACCGTTCAATGGGTTCACCTTGCCCGCTGCCTTGACAGAGCCGATTTATCAAGACAGGGGAAATGCAATGGAGAGAGAGTAATTCACACAGAACCAGCTGTGCGGGAGACCGGAGGAGTTTTATTAGTACTCAAATTAGTCTCCCTGAGCATTCAGGGATCAGAGTTTTTCAAGATAATTTGGGGAGAAGAAGCTCGGGAAGTGGGGTGGGGAGTGCTGATTGGTGGATTGAAGATGGAATCACAGTGGGGTCAAAGTGAAGTTTTCTTGCTGTCTTCTGTTCCGTGGGTGGGATTACAGAACTGGTTGAACCAGATTACCAGTCTGGGTAGCATCAGCTGATCCATCGAGTCCAGGATATGCAAAATATCTCAAGCACTGATTTCAGGTTTTACAACAGTGATGTTATCCCCAGGAATAATTTTTGGGAGGTTCAGACTCTTGCAGCCAAAGGCTGCATGACCCCTAAACCATAATTTCTAATCTTGTAGTTAATTTGTTATTCCTGCAAAGGCAGACTGGTCCCCAGGCAAGAAGGTGGTCTTTTTGGGAAAGAGCTATTATCAGTTTTGTTTCAGAGTCAAATCGTAAACTAAATTCCTTTCCAAGGTTAGTTTAGCCTACACCCAAGAATGAACAAGGATAGCTTAAGGTTAGAAGCAAGATGGAGTTGGTTAAGTCTGATCTCGTTCACTGTCACAATTTTCTGTTATAATTTTTGTGAAGGTGGTTTCACCAGGGGCTTTTTAGATAAATGGGCGTGTGCTTGTGTTGCTGCTTCAGTGATGGGGAACTCAAGTGGCACTTATGTAGCAATGGCCACAGGTATAAAATAGCCTGAATAACCTGAAATAATCTCATATAACACATCAACTTGTCTTAAATTTAAAAAGCAGACATACCATGAAAAGATGTAGAAAACAGTCCGTTTGTAAATGGAAATGTAAACTAGACAAGATATATTGGGCAAGTCACTTGTTTTCTAATACTAAATAGTAACATCACTCTTCCTTTCAGAGTTCATAAAAGCATTTTGCAACCATTAAAGTTCTATACAAACTTTATTTATTAAAGAACATGTGGTTGGGCGTGGTGGCTCACACCTATAATCCCAGCACTTTGGGAGGCCAAGGCTGGTGGATCACGAGGTTGGGAGATGGAGACCATCCTGGTTAATATGGTGAAACCCCATCTCCAGCCTGGACAACAGAGTGAGACTCTAGCTCAAAAAAAAAAAAAAAAAGTGTTATTTGAAAAATATATCCAGGCTCACAAATTGAATCAGATAATGGTATTTGAACAAAATTCATGTGGTGATTTACTTAGTTTCATGAAGTCTTTAGAACCTAATTTCTGTACTCTTTAAATTTTGTAAGACTTAAGTGAAATATATTTAATTTTGTTATATAGCAAATAATATATGGATGGGAGAGGAGAAAGGAAGAAACCTGTCCGGTAGGCAGTTAGGGTGGGTCCTCAGTTAGATTCTTTCAAACAAAAGAACACCCTGTGGCACAGATAAGGGAAATTGCACAGGCGTCTTCCCTAAGACATGCCCACAGCCACACAGATAAAAAAGTCGGCCAGGCGCTGACTTTCATTTGATTTCATTTTTGACCCTATGATCATTCAGGAGCAGGTAATTTAGTTTCCATATATTTGCATGTTTTTGAAGGTTCCTTTCGGAGGTGATTTCCAGTTTTATTCCACTGTGGTCTGAGGAGTGCTTGAAATAATTTCAATATTCTTAAGTTTATTGAAGCTCGTTTTGTGGCCTATCATATGGTCTATCTTGGAGAAAGTTCTATGTGCTGTTGAATAGAATGTGTATTCTGTGGTTGTTGGATAGAACATTCTGTATATAACTGTTAAGTCCATTTGTTCCAAGATATAGTTTAAATGCGTTGTTTCTTTGTTGACTTTCTGTCTTGATGATGTGTCTAGTGCTGTCAGTGGAGTATGGAAGTTCCCCACTATTATTGTGTTGCTGTCTATCTCATTTCTTAGGTCTATTAGTAATTGTTTTATAAATTTGGGAGTTCTAGTGTTAGGTGCATTTATGCTTACCGTTGTGATATTTTCCTGTTGGAAAAGGCCTTTTATCATTATATAATGTCCCTTTTTGTCTTTTTTAACTGCTGTTGCTTTAAAGTTTGTTTGGTCTGATATAAGAATAGCTACTCCTGTTCATTTTTGGTGTCCGTTTGTCTAAAATGTCTTTTTCCACCCCTTTACCTTAAGTCTGTGGGAGTCCTTCTGTGTTAGGTGAGTCTCTTGATTACTGAGGAAGATTTTTATTTGCTCTCCTTTGCTTATAAAGTACTACAATTAAGTGATACTATAGCTTTCTCCCTCTACACCCTGAACATCCCTCTTCCTGTGTTTTCTTCTGTGACTGCGTTTTTTCTGCTAGAGATAAGAATTCTTTTTATTATGTGGTAATGAGAAGGGGAGCTTAAAGCAACTGGGGCCCTTTCTGCTTAAAGTTCCAATTGAAAACAGATTTTCTTTCTTGTGTAGGACAAAAAATTTCCCATACAACTCTGGAAATTATTGTTTGACTTTTTTTCCACCTAATGAAGAATACATTACAGAAAACGTGAAAGATTCAGGTTTCTGCCTTCAGGATTGCACCATTGTGTGTGTGTGTGTGTGTGTGTGTGCACTTGTGTGTGTGCATGTGTGCCCTTGTGTGTGTATGCCTGTGTGCATCCATAATAGAATAAAGAACCTAATGGTGCATCCCACTACGCCATGTATACTATAAATGTTTTAAGAATGTGTTTTCCAAAAAATCATATATTTCATGTTTGATTCATTTGCATAACCTAATAAAAAGTAGTATCATTCCATACATTTCTTCAATTTCACGGTTTTCTTGTGATTTTGTGTACTTGTGTTTTCCTCATTTTTGCTTGATTAGATTGGCTGGTGGTTTTTCTGTTTGGGTTTTCTTTCTTTTTTTTTTTTTGTAGAATCGGAGTTAGATATATTCACCTATTTTCTGTTTTTGTTTTATTTTCAAACTCATTCATTACTACTTTTAACTTATAAATCGTTCTCTTCTTCTTTCTTTTGGTTAATGTTGTTTTTCTTTCCTTACTGTTTTATGGGGTTATTTTCCCTAAGAGCATCTTGCTTAGATTGGTTAGTTTATAGGGTCCAGACTCTTCCAAACTTTGTGAGTTTCCCTTGCACATCCCATAAGTGAAGACTAGTTGCAGATTTGGCTGTAGTTTTCAGATTAGCCAATTGAACTTTCCACGCTAAGTGGACACCCCTAAATTTGAGGATTGCTACCTATTTGTGATTTTTTCCCCCATAGGTCCTAGAACTCTTTGATGTGTATTGGCTGTTCCCCTACGTTTTTTCACATGGTTACTGATAACCAGTGGATCATTTTGTTTCCGGTGGCTTGACCGCATGCACATGTGTTTTGGAAGTCTTGGGCGATACGTTGTCATTTGTCTTTCCTACATGTATTTTTTCTGTGGGCTTTTTTCCTCCTCTCTTTTGCTGTATTTGTTTTTGTGGGAGAGTTAGGGACCTTCCAAAACCATGAAGCTGTCACCTTCTTCCTTCCTTTGCCTAATTTTTAAATGATCACAGGCTGCTCCAGCAACGATGCGTGTCAAGAATGTATGGGGAGACTGGAAGAACAGACATGAAGCTACTGCTATGGTGAGGTAAGAAATGATGGTGCCTTGGATACTTTGAAAGTGTGGACTGAGAAAGTCTCTCTTAAGGACTAAGTTTTTAGCTGGAACCAGAAGGATGAGGACACATAAGAGCCAGAAAAAGAGCCTTCCAGATAGTTGCAGGCACAAATGGTAGTGAGCTGGAGTCTGAGCAATAGACACTTGGTTCAGAGAGAGAACAGAGAAGAAAATGAGTCAGATCATGTCAACAGGATCCTAAGTCCTCTGGCAGCCGTCTCTAACCCTTTGAATGTGAGGACATTTTTGCTTATCTCTGGTGGCAGATATCACAAAAATTATGGACGGACCCTTTTTTGTTTTGTTTTTAGCTCATCAGCTGTCAGTGTTAGTGTTTGTAGACCAAGACAATTCTTTGAATGTGGCCCAGGTAAGCCAAAAGTTTGGACACCCCAGCAAGGTGATTGAAATGCACTCTGATGTCATTTCAGATCACAGCCTGTGGATCTATACAAGGAGACAATTGTAAAAGGAAGCACAATGAAAGAAGGGCCGAAACAGAGATAAAATGAACTCACTGTTCTACAAGATTGAAAAGAACAACCTAATTTGACTTTGACATTGGCATATATCTTTATAGCATTTATGCCTTGAAGGATGAGTAGGATATCAGTAGGTAATGAGTAAGGACATAAGAGCTTTCGACACTTTATATTCTGAGAATAGTTTTCAGGAAACGTTTACTATTGTATAGTGTATCAAAATATATTTAATAAACACTCTCTAAATAAGCAAGTAACCTCACCCCCAAAAAAGTAAATTTAAGGCATGTTAAGTTAGAACGTACCCAATTCTACATCTACTTATGGATGATATATGACCGCCTCAGGAAGACTCTCATACCAGCTGTCATATTTATGTTTTATTTTGGAAATTTATTTCTACAAACAGCATAGGGGAAATTGACCAAGTTTTCAAAGGAGCAGGTGTATCATCCTTGCTTTTTTGGCCCTATTACATGGTGGTAAGCATAATTAATTGGTAAAGATATTAACCAATTTTTATTGGCATATAGTATAATAATGATGGTTAATAAAAATGTTATCTATAGCTAACACGTATTAAATGCTTTACTTGTATCATCTCACACTTCGCTTTAACTCTCTGAAGTAGGTAATATTATGATCTTCAATTTATAGATGAGTCAACTGAGGCTCAGTGAGGTTCAGGCTACATCAAGGACATTCATCTGTGAAACTGCTAAGCTCTGCCAGCAGCCAAGTCTTTATTTACTATTTCAACTAACAAAGCCACTTTTTTTTAACTGAATGTTAAGAGGTCTCTGACTTTGAATTCTGTAGACTGCCAGTGTTTTATAAATTAATCCGATATTTCACAACCTAGTTGACCTTTCTTGGAATATGCTTTGTTTTCTGGACATGTCAAATAGGGTTAAAATTGCCTTAAATAAATAAAGCATATTAACACAAACAGAATTGTTTTTTAATGGCTAATTTAAGCTCTTTTGTAATGTGCTTTTTATTTTAGTACAGCTTATTTTGTTATGCAAATAAGATTCAGCTCTGTTGTGTATTTGTTTTAAAGCTAGTTGCATGCCTTTTTAACAGAAGCCTTTGTATGATGTTGTTGTTTCATTACTTTCAGATTAGTTGATCAACAACCTGCAACACAACATTCAATTTCGTTCCCTGTGAAAATGTTCAGGCTAATAGGTTTCATACGTTGTTGTTTAATTTATCTGCCTATTAGAAGAAGTCATTAAGTAGAAGAAACCAGCTTTTAGAAAGAATGCATTTTTCATTTACTGGTACAGGCATTTTCTTTAAAAAGGCATCATTAATCACATAGTGAAACCACTAATTAAAAATGCTTTACTTTGATTTGCTTTATTTTCCTGAACTGCATTAAATACCAGTTGGTCATGTGCATGGCATGCAAAGATCAAAGGCCTCTGTGCTCCCATTTCTCATTACAAAATTAATAATGGCTCTGCTTTGCACCTCTTTTGTCATGTGTGCATGTGTGTGTGTGTGTGAGAGAGAGAGAGAGGGATTCTACTCAAGTACATGTGTGAGATAGATATATTTTTCACTAATAGAGAAGCTACCTTTCAGACTATGTAAGTAATGTCAAATACAGAAGCCAACTATCTAAATGTAGTGAATGTATCAAAATGTAAGTATTTTCCTTATACTTGCAGAAGTTTTATTTTTATTTCTGTTGATTTCTTTATGTTGGCTTAAATGTAAAATATTTGCTTTTAAACATTGCATTAGGCATGAGTTGTGCTTTGAAGAGAACTAACGTGTTCCAGTTCTTTTATAATAAATTATTGGGGCACCTCTAGAAGACAAGAAGCAAGGTGTTTTGGAGGGAAAAGCACTAGAATGGAAGCCAAGGGACTTCTGTTTTGTTTCTAACCTGCCACAAACTTGCTCTGCAATGCAGACTACTGAAACTCTTTGAGCCTCACCTTTCACAATTGCAAAATGACCAAGCTGGAGCTCATGATTTTATGTTTTCTTCTATATCTAATGTTTTATAATATTAAATTATGATTTTGTTTTAAGGTAAAGAAACAAGATTTCCAAGATATAGGCATATAAAATATATTTTCTTTCCTCATATATTCTACTATTTTACAAAGTTTTATATTATTTGATTTAAAGTTTCTGAACCACTGAGTTAAAGCCTCATATTGAATGAAGAAAATAACAACTGAAGATAAATGCCTTGATATCACCCTTCACCCCACTAAAAATATAGAAAGGTATGGAATATTTGTGTTACATAAGCTAAATCTAAATATAAAGCATTACTGTTTGCCCAGTATTGCACTGCATGCCAGGGGTACTGAAACTTTGAAATTTGCTAACATGGCACATATACCTTGAAGTAGAATCTTGTATTTGTTTCCTAATTTCCATTTTCTGCACATCAAAAGTGAGAGCGGTGAAGAAATATAACTGGAGGTATAAATAGATCACCCACCTCACTCTAATTTATTTGAAATGTTTCCTATTTTCAGTACAGTGGCTATGTTGATAGCTAAGTTAGCATTGGTAGGTGTGCTGATAAAAGAAACCATGGCAACAAGTGAGGCAGGGAAAGAGGAAGATTCTATACAGCAGCACACCAGAATTATTTACCTATTGCTTTTTCTTTGGCTTCTTTCCATCCTGAAAATTTCAAACGTAGCGTAACAAGCATGGGTTTTAGAGTCAAGGCTGGTTAGTTCTGGTGGGAAAACATGGACAACTTATTAGACCTTAGTGAATCTAATTTTCATCATTTATGGAATGGGGCTAGCAGTGTCTACTTCACAGGGTTGACTGATGGTTAAATGAAATGCCATTGTTCATACATCAGCATTCATTGAGAACCTATCATTTCCCAGGCATGGGAATAGAGTGGGGAGTAAGAATGGCAAGGCCCCTTTCCCAGTGGATCTTATATTCCGGTGAAAGACAGACATTATGCAAGTAATAAATAATGTATGACATAGTTCCTTGAAGTGGTAATTGCCAAACATACACTGTGTTTACTACAAACTATTAGGTCACTTACTTTCATGTAGTATAACTTTTTATCTAATGCACATTATACAATATAATTATACACATTACACAATATAATTACTCAATAATTGATTAGACTTTGCTTGGACAACAATTGAGAACTTACCTTCCAAGAAACTCCGCTACTTCATTGGGAAGGTTTTGAACTTTGTGTTGAGCCAACTTCATGACCATTCAACAGTTTTCACTGCACCTGAGAGACATTCAGATATTTGAAGTCTGAAAGCTCCAGTCCCTGATTTAACCCTTCCCTAGGCCAGCACCCTACTTTCTTTGACCATGTCCTATGCAGAATATTTTGTTTTGTAGCCTGTCACTGATCTTTTAATGTTCTTTACTTTCTCCATTTTATTCTTAAAATTGAAACTCCGTAGAGCTTATGGTCATATGCTGAATAAAGTGCATTACAAAGAACTTGGGTTTTGAAAAAAGTCTTCATTTTAGAAATAAGACATTTTATTCAATTAATGTATTAATTGAATAGAATTAATTTCTATAAGTAATTTATGCATGATTTATAGACAACCGCACATGATATATGTGGGAGTTGGACATAAACTTTCAGTTTGCCTTAATTAAGCAAAGATAATAATACATTGTTAGCCAGAGTTCTTGAAAGATGTGCTTTGCTCTGGTTTGGTCTAGATTGTCCTTTGTTGATTTTTACGTTATAGTGACCTGGCTCAGAGGGTTACTTCCTCTCCTCATGTCTGTATTTTGTACCCCTCACTTCAGAATTATTTTTATCCATTTGTGTGGACCTGAGACTTGTAGTGAGTCTTTGGGGTCTCATAATTATATATCTTGGTTTCTGTGTTCTATTCTTTCTTAGCTGCCAACTTATATTGTGCCTAATTAGTGTCCTCTACCAGGAAGGAGAAGAGGAATGGTTTGCATGCTTTTGCTGGCAAGAGTATTTCCCAATTGTTGTCCAAGCTTGCAATGTCACCCACTGAACAGAGTTATTGATATAGCGGCACATTCAATGTAGCAGTAGTAAAAATGCCTTTCAGTGATAACAATTCTAGAGAAGTTTGTGTGGACTAGAGAGACATTTAGAAAAGTACTATTTGGCCTTAAAATGCTTCCACTTAAAGAATATTTACTAATACTCAGTAATTAGAACAACTTTATCATTTGTTTGGCCCCACACAAAAATACATCAGAAGCTCAACTAGCATGTATAATTCCATGGTAACAATTCCATGCACCTGTTCATTTGAAAGTTGAATGACTAGTATTTAATGATAATACTCTACATGTTCTTAATTTAAAATTATATGAAACATACCTAACTCCTTGGGATTTCATGTAGAAAATAGAAGAATTTCTAAATTGAAAATTAAAGTTTATTATAAACACCTCTTTAGAGTTAAACTTTCTATTTTGAGATGATTATAGATTCGCATGCAGTTGTAAGGAAATCATACAGAGAGATCCTATGTAGGCTTTAGTCAGTTTACCTCAATGATAACACTTTGTAAAACTATAATATAATAATCAGGAAACTGAAATTGATGCAGTCAAGATACAGAACATTTTTATCCCCACAATGATTTCTTCATTTACCTTTTGTGGTTGCACCCATTTCCCTCCAGCTCACTCCTTCCCTAAACTTAACCCCTGGAAATCACCAATCTGTTCCTTATTTCTACAATTTTGTTATTTCATAAATATTATATAAATATAATCTTGTAGTATGTAACCTTTTGGGAATGGCTTTATTCAGTCTGCATATTTCTCTGAAGATTCATCCTTATCATTGTGTATCAATAATTCTTTCATTTTTATTGCTGAGTAGTGTCCTATGGTATCGATATACTACAGGTTTTTTTTTTTTTCTTTTTAACAATTCACCTGTTGAAGGACATTTGTGTCATTTCCAGTTTGGGGCTATTATGAGTAAAACTGCTATGAACATTTGTGTACAGGTTTTTGTGTAACTGTAAGCCTTCATTCTCTGGGATAAATACCTAACAGTACAATTGCTGAGTTGCATGGTGGTTCCATGTAATAATCATTTTCACTGTCACAGATACATCTATAAACTGCTGAAAATTACACAGGAAAATACATTTGTAAATTGAATTTTTATAAATTAAATTACATTTTTATTACAATAGTAGGTCTCTGTATTTTAGAAAATGAAGACTCTGTCTGTATTAGTAATAATTTTTCTCTAGTTACTCACTTTATTCCACAGCTCCCTAGCTTCCTTATGTATAAAGGCCATTTACTTGACAGGCTCGATTCAATTTCTGTAGCAAGTGCTCATTTCATAAAGAGTATTGGAGTTACCTATGTGTCACTCTATTGACCATTCTGAAAATTTGTTATTATCATGGCCTGAGGTGTTATATTTATATAATCCGGTATTGAAATTGGGTTTACATCATTAAGCTTTGGACTGTTTGGGTAAAACAGAAAACAAACAAAAAAAACTTCTTTTTCTTCTTCCTGTATTGTTCAT